>NC_000001.11:237547757-237699273 GCF_000001405.40 Homo sapiens | reverse complement strand
AGTTCAACCCTCCTTTATGGTCCTAGCTGCTACAGAAATTACCTGACATTAAATAATAATCTATATATGATCATAGACATAAGCTGCCACTGTATTAATTTTAAAAAGTTTTTCTTTTCACCTACACTAAAGACTTTATTACAAATCCAAAGAATAAAATCCAGACACTGGGTCCTTCTTAATATTCTTATATATATACATGTATCATTATTATAGTAATTTATTTAGGTAAAAATGTATCCATTTACCTTGCATCCAAAGTCTGACCCAAAATATGAAGACAGTTGACAATTGATGTTGCATCATTGCCTAAAGAGGAAACAAAATGCTGTATAAATTGCCCTGAGAATTTCTCAATGTTCTTCTTTTCTACCAATATTTGTGCTAGAAAAATTAGTCAATGACACAACAGTAATATTTTAAAAGGTTTTTTAATAATCAAGTTTGAAATCATGCAGTTTTTCTGCTTAAAAGTGGTTATGCAAATGTAAGTAGAAAAGCAATAAAGCATGTCTCATCAAATAGCTGACATGCCCAAGAAGCATTCAAAAGCACTGCACCAGACTAAAAGAGTTTTAACCGAGGTTTTCAATAATCCCCTCTCCCTCCCATCTCACTGTATTTTTAAATCTTATTGTTTACAAACTTTTAAAGTCAGCTCATATCCTTTATGAAATAAGGTGGGCTTAAAGTTTAAAAATTTTCATTCCATTCTAATTGCACCAAAAATTCTGCTTTCTTATTTCATCCCACTGCATTAAGATGAATTAATTTGCCTGAATTCCATTGCATGAAGGTAAATTAATTTCCTTGAATGTTATTGGTCTTTGGCAAAAACCAAAAAGCACCAAAACGTCATGTAAAAAAAAAATCAGACACTAAAGAAGTTAAATAATACTCCTCTGAGATTTTCAGATGGTAGTAACTCCTCTTGAAAGTAATATAAAATTCACTCATTTTGATTGGCATATTTTACAAGGAAGTACAGAAATATGAGTGATAAAAGCATTACATATATTTTTCTTCGTAATGGGGATACAGAAAGCAAATAAAATGATGAATTCAAGGTAACAAAATAATTTGACCACTTACAATATAGTTTGACATGATCAGTTCCTCATTACACACACACACACACACACACACACACACACACACACACACACACTATCATCTCCTGGGTCCTGAGATTGACAACTATTATCTGAATGTAAGTTTTTGTAATACTGGTATATGTTATATTCTTTATACAAAAAGTAACCTAAAATGAATGACCTAAGTACACACTGAAATTAATAATTGTATTAGAACATGGGCAAGCCAGTTTAGTGATATGATACAAATAAGAAAAAATAAGGTATTTATTACTGAGATTCTGAGTTATTCATGAAAATATTCCCTCATCTTGTGCTTCAAGTCTCAGAATTCCTGGTAATAATGAAGACAAAATGAGCAGAATGGTAGGATTTTTTATTTTCCTGTCCATTGGCAGATGCCAGCTCTGGGGCTTCTCCTGGAACTCTTAGAAGTATTCATTTGATGATTAATTCACTTAACAAAGAAAGATTAAAACCAGGCACTCTCAAATTTCCAGTAATGAACAAAATAGTCCTTATGGTACTTGCATTTTAAAGGGGGATATAGATAACGAATCAGTAAGCAAAAAAAAAAAAAATCATTTAGCAAAATATCAGCATATAACATAATAGCAGGCCACAGTTAAATATATATAAAAAATATTTGTTATATACAAAAAGATTATATATAATTATATTATATAATATATATTTCTATAAATATATTATATATCATATAATATATATTTACATAAATATATATTATATAATTATATATGATATAATTATATAATATATAACATAATATATAATATGCAATTATATATTATATAAATATATATTATATATATATACTATATATATATACACACACACACACACCTACAGAAACTGGGTAGAATAACAGGGATAGTGCTCATGAGTCCTTCCTGGAGGCGGCATTTGAGCAGAGGTTGGAATGACATGAAGAAATAAACCATCCATGTATCTGAGAAGGAGATCCAGGTACAGGGAAGAGCCCATGCAAAGGCTCTGAGGCAAAAAATGAACCTGGTGTTCCAAGCAAAGAGGGTCAAGTGGCTAAGGGAGTCAGAGCAAGAGGAAAGAAGCAGAGTATGAGTTGGAGAGGTTGGGAGAGGTCAGGTTCTAGAGCTTGGTTAGAGCAAGCCCTTGGATTTTCAGTGCGGTAGGAAGACATTCTTAGGTTTTGAGCAGGATGGGATATGATACGATTTATATTTTCAAAGAATTAATTCCCTATGTGGGAAATTCTGGAAGAGCAAAAGTGGAAGATAATTAGGGACCTACTGCAGGAACGGAATCAGTTCACTGATGATGGTGAATTCAGATTAGGATATCAGTGGTGAAGAACTTGAGAATATATATTTGAAGGATTTACTTATGGATTGAATGTGAGGTGAGCGGGAAAGCAGTCAAGGATAACTCTAAGGTTTTCTGCCTGAGTAATTAGGTGAAAGGCGGCACCACTGAATGGTGTAGAAAGAGAACGAGAAGAAGCAGACTGTGGGAGGAAGGGGATGCGGCGGGGGTGGGGGATGGGGTCCTGACCCTTGCTTTGCACATATTAAGTGTGATGGGCCTATTAGTAATTCGGGTAAAGATGTAGAATAGGCAATTGATTGAAAAAAAAAAAAAAGTCTGCAGTGCAGGGAAGAGATCTAAGCCAGAGCTATACACTTGGGCATTGTAAACATACATTTAATTCTAAACATCGTGGGTCTCAATGAAACTAGCCAGCATGAATATAAGTAAGAAGAAAAAAGGCCTAGGGCCTCCAGTGTTTGGAGGCAGAGAAGATAAGAAAGATGCAGTATAGACAATGGGAAAGAGAAGGCCCATGAGGAGGAAGAGATCCAGTGCAACGTATATGAGTCCTATGCCACTATTAATCAGCCCCAAATCAGAGAGGCAGGTCCTTCATTTTTCCTAAACACTCAGTTGTCTGTCCCTTTCCCTTCCAATCTGCTCTTATTATAGATTATCAGTGTTTGTACTTGGTACTGAGTTTTCCTGTGCCCTTTTCCATGAGGGGTGGCCAGGGATACTTTAAACTTCTATTAATATAAGCCTGGCAGGCTGGGATTTTTGTTTGCTTTGTTCCCTGCACCTAGAATAGTGTCTGACATACAGCAGGCCCTTAAAATATTTGTGGACTGTCTCTGGGATGTAAGAAGAGTAGGAAACAGCACCAGGAGCCAGACAAATTCTGTGGGTTGACTGAAACTGTGTATTGGGAATATGAAATTTCTGTGATTGCTAAAGGAATAAACTGAACTCCACACATTTTTACATCTTGGTAGACCCCTTTTAGACACAGCACAACTTTAAATAGAAACACCTCTATGTAAAAAATGGGAAAGGGACTCTAAGAAGGCAGAAAAAGTAGAGTCTTCAATATTTTAATTTGTAGACCAGGCAAAAGTGTCAATCCCATTAGCATGTGTAAGAAGCCTAAAATAATGTGAGTCTTGAAGAGGTAAAGCATGTGGTAAGGCTTTTCAATAAAATAATGACTTAAATATTGTCCTTCTTAAAGCTATCCAGATTACCATAATCAGAAATGTCAATCACGTTATCAGGAAGAACAGGAAGGGCCAGCAGAGTTTTGTAAGATGATAAAACTTTCAGGTGGCAACTGGATTTTTATGTACTTAAGTTTACATAATTGATTCATTGCTCTGGGTGGTGAAAAAACCAAAAGATTGATACTTTTCAACTCACAGTATTTCAAGGACCCAGCTATTTCCCTTGTCCTCAGATACACACCTCTCATCACCTCTGAGCACTCAGGGAAACAATGATAGATTGCCTATTTGTCCTTAAGATTGTGTATTTATATCAGTGCATCAAGGTGTACGTAAACATAAAAAGTACATAATTAAAATAATAACTTACACCTGGGTCTAATAACAATAGGGACAACATTGGGTTTTAAACAAATTATAACAACTCTCATATATGACTCTCTAAATAATAAAAACAACAAATTACATAATATAACTATAAATAATTTTTGCATATTAATCCCAAATTGTTTTTTTAAATAAAGTTTCTATAACTCAGGAATTCTCAATGTTAAATTTGACATATCATATGCCAGTTCTGTTTTATAATCTGATATGCTGAGAATTCACAGAATGTTGACTTCTCTCTCTTCTGGAAACAGTGATAGCAGTCATTGTACTTTTTATTTTTCTCTACTTTTCTAATATTGTATTCTTTTCTCTGAAGAAATGATTAATCTTGGCAGAATTCTATTAACAATGTGAAATACCACTGTGCCAGAACTTACAAATTTCTCTCACAATTATGAGGGAATAGAGAGAAATTGCAGAGTGTCAATGACTTTGTTATTTCTAAAGTCTGTGATATTGAACAGAGTAAAATTATTGGTTCCCTAATTTGGTGAGGAGTTTCAGTCAAACCGAGGACACATTTTGAATAACTACATATTCTATTCATTTTTCAAAGCCAGGAAATTCTCCTATAATGCTATGTTCAACTGAAAGAATTATCTGTATCGCTCTAATACTATGTTGATCTAATGCTATGTATACTTTATTACTTTCATTATAGGCATCTAATTCCAATATTTCTGAACTTCTCTAAAAAAATAGGATTTTTTACAGTATATATAATAAGTTAAATCCAGGAAATAGTTGTTTTTGCCATGCATATTGTCATAGTACTACAGAATTTTTAAATTAGAGAAAGATCTCAATGATCCTCCAGCTACGAATAACAAGGATAAGAAAATAGTTACAGATTGCGCATGATTGAACCATTACATTCTCAACTTAATGGCACACTGAATCCTCAAATATGCTTCTATCTGCAGTGATTCTGAGTACTTTAAGTAATTTTTCTTTTTTTTTTTTTTTTTGAGAGGGAGTCTCGCCGTGTCGCCCAGGCTGGAGTGCACTGGCATGATCTCGGCTCACTGCAAACTCCACCTCCTGGGTTCACGCCATTCTCCTGCCTCAGCCTCCCGAGTAGCTGGGACTACAGGCGCCTGCCACCACGCCCGGCTAATTTTTTGTATTTTTAGCAGAGACGGGGTTTCACCTTGTTAGCCAGGATGGTCTCGATCCCCTGACCTTGTGATCCGCCCGCCTCAGCCTCCCAGAGTGCTGGGATTACAGGCGTGAGCCACCGCACCCGGCCAATTTTTCTTTTATTATATGTGTCCTACCAAACACAAGCACAATCTGAGCCTTGTTAGAGATAACACAAACATATTAATTTTCTAATATAATAACTTCTGAGATAAGACAGAAATCATCATTTAAAGACGTCAGTGTTTTTTGGGAGAGATATTAGAAGTATCAACATAAACTTAATCCACTAATTTATTGATTAGGTAGAAATAAGAGTTGATAGGCTCCATTGTATTACTTTATTTAGTATCTACTTTTAAAACTCTTCCAAACGTAACATTAAGATTTATCTACTGGTATAAGTCAGGCATACTCACCTAGAAAAAAACTGAATATTTTAACAACAGCTACTGTTTCATGTTAAACACATAATAATATTTATCTTGTTTAATACTCCTGTAGCTAATATTGGAGTTGTATTAATGATGTTATACATTGGGTTCTAGGTCAGTATTATGCTCATTGTATTACAAAATGCTGGCTTTTTGTAATAACATCAGGTATTCCTAGATGTACCTATGTGATTAATTCACAAATTCTCCACTAACTCTGAGGAGTGTCCAGGTCATTCAATGTCTCACTAGGATGTTAAAAAGGCACCAGAAAACTGGAAAGTAGAAAAGGCCTATAAGTGACAAATATTTCATGCCTGCCTTTTCAAATAGTTCCTGGAACTGAAAGGATCATTGTTGGTTGAGTTTCATGATCTTATTATTTTAAGGGTCATTAATTATGTGTTATTTTCTATTCACTGTAAGTGGCCTAAGTGTTTTCATGGACCTCTTAAGGAATAAGAGAAAAAAAAAAAAAACATGATTCTCACCAATTGTAGGATAATTAGGTACTACATTTTTCTTAATAATCTCTTAAGCAAAATAAACAAAGGAAAGCTGTGTCATTCGTGAATGTAAGAAAATTTCCACGTTCTTAGCACTTGTCTCATAGTAAGTGTCTGCGTACTTATCTACCTTCTCTATTAGACTATAGGCTTCTTGAAGGCCGGACCTGGGTGGCTCATTCATTCATTCATTCATCATATATTCATAAAATATTTACTGTGTGCCAGACTTCCTGCCAGGCACTGAGAGTGCAACAGGAAGACCTCACAGAGCTGAGAGTTTATGCGAGAGAAGAGAGATATTAATCTGGTAGGCATACCATCAGTGACATGGAGGAAAAGTACACGGCACCAGAGACTATTATAATAGTAGCAGGACGGAGTATTATCAAGGAGGTCAGGGAAGCCTTTCTTGAGACAGTAATATTTGGATTGAAGTCTGAAGGATGGATAGTTTGTTATGAGTGTGAAGGATTGAGGAGATGAGTAATTATGTGTGAGGGTCCTTTACTCAGGCGATAATTACAGCATGTGCAAAAACCCTGGGCAGAAAGGAATCTAACACATTCAAGAGGCAGAGAGAAGGCCAAGGAAGCTGAAGAAGCATAGGGAGGAGGAGAGACTGGGCTGGGACACGAGGACGGAGTGGCCCATGGGGAATGGACGGTGAAACACTAATGTGGCTAGGTTAAGAAACGTGCTTTCTACCCTAAAGGCATGGGAAGCCACTGAATATGCAGGAGTGTAATCAGAGAAGTGTGTTTTGAGAAGATTTGATAAGATCATCGTGGAACACAGTTGAGAGAAGCAGGAGGGGATTCAGAGAGAATGGTCAGTATGCTCCTGCAATAGTACAAGCGAAAGATGTTTGCATATTGGTCTGGGTTCCGGAGTGGAAAGAGAAATCAATCTTCATTTTCCTATCCTCACATCTTGAGTGAATGCCTTTCACGTGGCAGACATACAATACATGTTTATTGAATGAATGCATAAAATGAGTATCATCAAGGCATTTGATTTATTTTCACATGTAAAAAGAAAGCCTTTAAGGCACTCTGATAAGCACCACCTGTGCCACCATCATTATTACTGTTGGACTCTTAGTTATCAGATGCTGCTTCCTCTAAAAATGATTGAAAGATTCTAACAGACTGTAATAGAAGGGCTAATGTATCCTCTAACTGCCTTGAAAATAGTAATCAGAATTTCTAGGCAGCAAAAGTCAGGGGTAACTCTGGGAATCAAAGCACTGTTTCTTTAGTCAACACTGGTCCTTGAAAATGGCAAATGATAAGGATATCACTTGTCAACCTGCCTACGTCCTATTTATGTCCTACCTGGATTTCCAAAATTCGTTATGTGCACCAACTTATAATCACTAGCAAGCATTTCAGAATTCAAACAGGGAAGCCTATATTTAGACAAGAAGCTATTTTCTTTCTTTTTCATTCCATAAATTATTCTAATTGATTCATCAGAATTCTATGGGTAATACCGCTTGTCTTCCTTTTTAAAAACCTTAGCTTTTTAAACATAACATAAAATGGTTTAAATGTCTCAAAAATAATAGATTAGGCATAAAAACACTATTATCTTAATTCCTGTATAGTGTCCATCAATGCAGAAGAAATATTTTAAAGTAGATAACAAAAAATATAAAAGCCAAAGTTTTGAGAATCCTCATTTCATATGTCAGAAAAATATTTCAACCACAGGCGAGGTTTGGAGATATAATTACAATGTGGCAGCCAACCTAGAATAAATATTCCATTACCCATCAAACTCTGCTCACCACAATTACTACCACCAGAACATGTATTTTGTCTCTTCATTTTTTTTTAATGCTCCTGTCCTGTCTCCACTTTCTGACATATTTAAGGTTAACATGTATCTTTCTACATCCTTACCTTCTCTGATCATCACAAAACTCAAGTATTTTCTTGTCAACCTCAACTTTCAATTCTGTCTTAATTTACTCTTAGGTTTAGGTCATGAAAAAATCTTTAAACCAAGATAGTACAGGAAATACAAGACAGTACAGGGAATATGTGAAGCTTAAATGCTTAAGACTTAGAGATTTGGCCGGGCGTGGTGGCTCACGCTTGTAATCCCATTGATAATCAATGTATTTCCTGCCAAAATGCAAGAAAATGATAAAAGTAGACTGAAAAAGAATAGATTAATATGACCATATACAAACAAGCACTGCATATATGCTACTGGGTCTCTCTGTTTGGAAAAATCCACACTGGCATAGCTGATAAATCAAAAAGTAAATAGTTGGGTTATAACACTTCTGATTCATTCTGGAAATGGGTGTATTATAAAGGCTTTACTGTGTGTATTTTTGTGTGTGTGGTGTGCAATGTTGGCTCACTGCAACCTCTGCCCTCCAGGCTCAAGCAATCCTCCCACCCCAGCCTCCTGAGTAGCTGGGACCAAAGGTGTATGCCACCAGACATGGCTAATTTTTTGTATTCTTAGTCGAGATGGGGTCTCGCCATGTTTCCCAGGCTGGTCTTGAACTCCCGAGCTCAAGTGATCTGTCCGCCTTGGCCTCCCAAAGTGCTGGGATTCCAGGCGTGAGCCACTGTGCCTGGCCCTGTGTGTGTATTTTAAAGGGCTAAGTCTACTAGTTTAGTATGTAATTTATGTAAATAAAGTATAATAAGCTTTAGATAAGTTAATAAAATCTAATAATTTTAATAAGACTAGAAACATCTTATATGTGAAAACTATAAGGTTACACTTTACATAGCACTTTAACATGAATTATTTCACAAAAAATTGATCTCTAGGTTTATTAGGTATTTTAGCCCACTTTAACAATGAAAAAATGCAGGTTCAGAGAATTTAAGTCCCTTGTCCAAATCATTCAGCTGTTAAGTTAGAAAAATAGGACTTACAACTAGGTTTTCTGATTCCAAACCCACTATTCTCTCTAGGATGTCATATTAGCATCTACAGCCCATAATATGTGACATTTAAATACTATACCAATACCCATAATATGTGAAGCTTAAATGCTTAAGACTTAAAAGATTTGGCCAGGCACGGTGGCTCACACTTGTAATCCCAGCACTTTGGCAGACCGAGGTGGGCAGATCACCTGAAGTCAGGAGTTCGAGACCAGCCTGGCCAACATGGTGAAACCCCGTTTCTACTAAAAATTAGCCGTGTGTGGTGGCGTGTGCCTGTAATCCCAGCTACTTGGGAGGCTGAGGCAGGAAAATTGCTTGAACCTGGGAGGCGGAGGTTGCAGTGAGATGAGATCTCACCATTGCACTCCAGCTTGGTGGGCAACAAGAGTGAAACTCTTTCAAAAAAAAAAAAAAAGACTTAAAGATTCTAATAATTTGGCAAATCTGTACTAGATGTTTGATTAATAAAGCCATGTTGAAGTTTATATTTTATAGGCAAATATCAAAGCAAATTTGAAACAATAACATACACTTTAATAATATAAAAATGTGCAAAAATGCGCTTTGAGATATAAAGAAAACATACCAGGTCTCCAATAAATTCCCCTTAAAAATAAAAATAATAGTATTAAAAGGCTAAGGGATGAAACCACAATGTCTAATTGAAATACTAGGACCACACAGGGAAGGAACTAATGTTAAGGTCTAGTTTTTCACCCCTAACAAGCATGACAAACTGTATTATACATTTATCTTCAATAACCAAACTTAAATGATATATTCAACAAAAATGGAATTTCAAGAACAGCTGAAAAGAATCCATAGAATGGAGTCTACATATAGTTCCTCTGGAGATGGTTATAATTTGAAAAATGACACAGGGGAGGCTCCTGGCATGTTGGAAACGTTCTATGTCTTGGCTTGAGCTATGATTAAATGGTTGTATATGCATATACATTTTCATCAAGTTGTTCTTTTTATTTGCTTGTATTAGAGACAGGGTTTTGCTCTGTTTCCTAGATGAGAGTACAGTGGTGTGATCATAGCTCACTGCTACCTCAGATTCCTGGGCTCAAGTGATCCATCCATCTCAGCGTCCTGTGTAGCTAAGACTATAGGTGTGCACCACTGCACCTGGCTAATTTTTTATTTTTATTTTTTGTAGAGCCAAGGTCTTGCTATGTTGCCCCAGCTGGTCTTGAACTCCTGTCCTCAAGTGATTCTCTCACCACGACATCCCAAAGTGCTGGGATACAGGCATGAGCCACCACACCTAGCCAAGTTGTTCTTAGGATTTTGTAGTTCAGGTATGGAATACCTCAAAAAAATTTTAAAGGAAATTATATGAGGTATAACAGGAAAAGAAGGATATACAATAAGCAGGAAGTTAGAAATAGCACCATAGAAAGTATTATTATGCTCATTAATAAGACCGCAAAAGGGCAGCTGATATGTATAATTAGATAGCACTTGCTGAAGACAAATGGAGAATATTTGAATCCACTGTTATTCTGAGAAGGTTAAAGAGTGTATGAAAATCCTGCCTGAATAAGCCCATGAAAATATTTCTCTGTTGAAGAGAAGTTAAACAAAAGTCAGTGAACTAGAAATTATTCTAAAGATAACTGCCCCATTGATTTTAAATAACTGAAATATTAATGTAAAAACTCAGGCAATTTTAATGAAATATAAATTTTCATTACTAAATTTAAGAGCACCAAATCTTGGATATAATACTAGAAACCAAATATAGCAATAACCTACTATATCCAGAAACTATTATTTCTCAAAAAGTGTAATGTGAAGAACTTATTTGTGCATATGTGTGTGTGTGTATATATATATATGTATATATATATACCCGTTCCTCAGTTTAACTGTGACTTTGTAGAAATGACTTAATTTTTTTAATCCTTAGCTTGTCCTGTAAATAGAATTGAACTTATAATACCTCTAGCAATACATTCAATGTTTTATTACTAAAATTACTCCAACACTGTCTCAAAACCTAGAGAGCAAAGGGTTCACATTTTCTTCGGCAGTTTATAAAATCGGATGCAGGAAAGTGTGAAACACAAATTCCACCAGCCACTAAAGATTCTAAAGCCCCACGGCAGGGAAAATCTGCGGAAAGTGAGTGCCCACCCTGCATGGCTGTCCGGAAGCAGGTGCTCTGGAACATGGACTCCAGCTAGGTGAATTCTCAGAAACAAACAGAAACTGACCCTGGAGTGAGTGGTGCTAGAAAAGCCACTCTTGCCAAGTGAAGCTCCGAAGCTCCTTGGCTTCAGTGTCTTGACTATGACGTTCCAATGTTTGGAATGCAGAAGACATGCAAATCTGTAGTCAAGAGCATTAAAAAAAATAAGTGCAGTTTAAAATTTTGATTTATAACAGCTCATTATTTAATCTGTCAGAGGTAACCAAACACAAATCCAAGGGCCTGGCTTTGTTTTGTTTTTACCCCTGAGATAAAATACGGCACAGCCTGCCATTTTCATTCATTTGCTCTTTAATAATAGTCTTTTTACTTTCAGTTATGCTTTGGACTAGTGTAAAAAAGATAGAGTCCTCAATTTCACCATACATAATGCTATTTATGAACAACCTCGAGGACCTTATCTTGGCCTGCAACGACCATGCATGCAGCCATGCAAACATGCATCCATGCAACATAGCAGCACACAACACAGTGCAAAAATGGCAAAGAAAACCAAGTGATGGCCATGCTTGTATTTTTTCAAGGGTCTCCTTACCAAATAGTGAAATCCTATGCCTGACAAGAACTCCAAGTTTGCAGAATAGGCTGAAGACAAAAGAAAAACAAAAGAGAAAAGGGAAGGGGGAAGGGAAGGTAGAAAAGACAGGGGGAAATTAAAAAAAAAAAAAAAAAAGAAGAAGAAAAAAGAAAAAAAAACAGCTGATATATGAGCCGGAAAAAAGCAACATGATGTCACGCAGAAAGAATCAATTCTCTGAGCAGAATGTGGAGTAAAGGTATTAAAGAAAGAGTCTTTGAGTGCATCTCTTTAACAAACATGGTTAAAAAAGCACATATTATAAGAAACCAAAAAAAATTGAAAGCAAAGCTAATTAATATAAAAGCAATCTATATGAACCCCATAAGGATATAACTACTGAAAAACCACCAGGAAAAAATTTGGTTTTATCTGCCCAAATGTACCACTGAAACTCTGGATTTAAAAAATATATATATGGACATTATTTTATTTTACAACAGACGTATGGTGCTTCGGGCATACAATGTTACTTTAAGTTTTAATATGTTTTATTATTTGAAATCTCCTTCGTCCCCAACCTTGATCACACTCCTTACGTAACGTAAGCATCCAGTGAATTTGAATACAGTAAAGTAGGAACAGAATTTGAGCAACTGATAATCACTCAGAGGAAAGCATTACAGATGTGATAACTTAAAGTCTCTGGATACCTATAAGTTCAGTATATTTCTTATCTGCTCCAGAGCAGGTTCCTGTGTCTTTGAGTCCTTCATGGCAATTAGCAATGAGCCATTCCAAATAATGGCTGCCCACATTCAGCATTCAGCCTGACAACGCTGGTATCCACTAACTCTCAGATCAGACACTTGAACCTGGGAGATCCCTGCTGTTTGTCCTTTCTTTTCACCAAGCCTCAGCTGGGTGGGATCCTCACAGGTCCCTATTTTGAGAAATACCCTTCACTCATTTCCATGCTATCCTCCCATCTACTCGTCCCTCAAAACTCAGCTCAGAATGAGTTTCTTCCAAGAATAAACTCATTAAACTAAATAAACTCAATAAAATAAGTAGGTCAGCGTTCTGACATCCAGCCCTCCTGTACAGCTCCCAACCCAGGCTGCAAGAGGTCCATACCCAGATGCTCTCAGGGGCCATTTGCAAATCTCTACCAATACAAGTGACATTATTTTCAAATCTACTCACGCTCTTCTCAGCTCTCAGAGAGCACAGGCTCTACCCAGCCAGCACTCACCCCAGAAAATCTAACCTTGAAGATCCATGTGTATAGTACCACCCACACTCAGCTTGATTTTTCCCAATAACGAGAACAGCTAAGTCCTCACTGACTATGTTCTCTTGCAAAACTCTGCATTAACAGCTGTGATCAAACGTGCAGCTCCCCAGGACTAGGGATACAGACCAGCCATGGAATACCATGAAAGTGGCTTGGCTGATCAGTGGCAGGATGGGAAGAGAGGGAAGCAGAGAAGGTAACGTTTGTGAGGTTGACCTCTTTTACAGTAAGTTTTGGCCATCACCCCTCACTTCTGTAACAATGTGGATTCATGTATTGATGAAAATTATGTAGGGTATTTTGTAGTTTTCCAAGAAAATGTTCATCTACAAATGTCTGAGTGAATCTGAGGTTTTGGGGAATTTCTTATCAGAACAAAATATTTTTAAAACAATGATCTATTCAAGTGGCTACTAGACATAAGATTAGTCATGAGGCCCTTGACCTGCCTTATTTATCTTTGTGCTATAATTTTAAGACAATAAAACAGGAGAAACTTTGTCCACGTGCCCTTATCTACTGAGCTTTATGGCTGACAGCTGTGTGTGCTAACTCAGACAGGGTCTGCCTTTTTCTAAAGAGAATAATTCAGTTTAGAATTGTACATACTTTGGATCCCTGTACTCCAATCTATTTTAAGTCATGTATTTTACCTATTCCTCTCTAGTATCCAGAGTGAAACATTCTGAGATATTCTTGATGATCCAGAATTTATAATGCTAGGATTAGGTCTTACTCAATTAATCCAAACCTAGGATGTTTTGCTATAATGGCAGACTGCTCTATGTCTCATTTATCAAATTATATGTAATGCCTGAAAATCTGTCAGAGAAAAAGGACTTGACAATCTCTGCTGATTCCTCACCACATGTGCCACCAGAGAGAAATACAGATACAGAAGGCAAGGTCCTCAAAGAGGGCAAATTGTAACTCTTTCCCCTCCTGTGCAATCCACTTTTAGGGCATGGTATTCATAGAAACTATAAGGATTAATTATTATAAGCTTTAGCCTATATTTTCTCTAAAAAATATTTTCTATAATACTGTTGTCCCCTTTCTCTGCTTCCCCTCATTTCCAACATTCTCCAGAATTTATAAGGCATCTACTTCTTCAGCATTTACTCATTGTCTTGTACTAAAACACTCCTTTGCAGCTCACCAATGCCCCTAATGAGCAAAGATAATAACCTTTTCTTTTTTGGAGTTCTGTCAACAGTACTTGGCATTGTTTATTACTTAAATCGTGAAACTCTTACCTTCCTTGGATTTTGTTTACAGTATTTTTTTTTTTCTCTCTAATTAACCATTCTTGATGTTCTTCAAAGACCTATTTCCAAAAACCCTGTAAATGTAATAATTCTCCAGGGTATTCAAAACCTTTTGCCTCTTTCTCTACTCTCCTTCAGTTTTATCTACTTCCTCGGAGCTTCAAGCATTATATATATATATATATGTGTTCAGATAATCCCCAAATATGTCATTTCTTGCTCTAATCTCTCAATTAACCCCACATGCTAATATTTCCAATCTGCTGGATTTCTCCAACTGAATGACCTGCGGGTACCTTATACTCCGATAAATACCTGACCAAATGTAACCTCTTCTTCGAAACGATTCTTTTTCTGAAATATGTTGTTTCTATTCATGATACCAACAATGTTCCAACTACCCAGAGTTGAAATTTCAGCACCAAGTTGGACCTTTTTCTACTTGCCATATTACTCATCGCCAAGTCATGTTGACTTTCTCTCTTCCCTGTTTCTCACCCCAGCTGCTGTTTACATCTCTTCTATATTCCCAGCACTCTGTAGATGTCTCCACTGACACTCATCACAACTTCCTGTAGAGTTAGCTCTATATGTACGTGTCTACTTGGCTGTAGTTCTAAATTTATTAAAGTTAGGAACTGTGTTATTGTGTGTGTGTGTGTTTATCTTCAGGCCTCAGACAGCTTGCCGTACATAGGTGGCATTCAGAAATATCTGAACGAGGCCGGGCACGGTGGTTCATGCTTGTAATCCCAGCACTTTGGGAGGCAGAAGTGGGCGGATCACCTGAGGTCAGGAGTTCAAGACCAGCCTGGCCAACATGGTGAAACCCTATCTCTACTAAAAATAATAAAAAAAAAAAATTAGCCGGGCATGGTGGTGGGTGCCTGTAATCCCAGCTACTCAGGAGGCTGAGGCAGGAGAATTGCTTGAACCTGGGAGGCGGAGGTTGCAGTGAGCCGAGATCATGCCACTGGACTCCAGCCTGGGCGACAGAGTGAGACTCTACCTCAAAAGAAGAAGAAGAAGAAAAAGACCCACCTGCTAAATGGATCAGTGGGCAGCACCACCTATTTGAGGCAGCACTTCCAACACTATAGCCTGGGTTGCTGTCTTGGCCTCCAGGTGCCTGCCATGGCCTCCCAACTCTCCCACTCTCATCAATCATACCTTTGCTGCCAGACTGTATTTCTCAGAGGGAAGCTCTGATCATTCTTTCACATAAAAAGCTTTAATAGCTTCTTAGTATTAATGAATTAGGTTAAAAAAATTGTGATAGAATTTTAAGAAGAAAATTCCTGATTCTGACAGTTAATATCCATTACCATCTATATAACCTACCTTTCCCCTAAATTACCAGCTTCTACATTTTATTTATGTAGTTATCTACATTTAGAAAATATGTTCCTTTGTTAATCTCTGACCTACAAGTTGTTCAAGATCAACTTTGACTGGCTTGATTTCCATAAATCTCTCGCCCCTCTATATCCACCCAAGGTGGTCTTACTTTACTTTGAATCCCATCTTACTGCCTGGCTTTCACTAGGGCTATACTCATATTCACGTATTTAGCTACTGCAAAGTATACTCCAGACACGACAGTACTGACCTTCGATACAGCAAATGCTCAGTATATAATAATTTCTTGTGCCAGGAAGTATCTAAACATCTCATGGAAACATTGGTTTTAATTGTGGAAAAGTTAACTCAAACCCACACAACTATTGCTACTCACGTCTGTTAAACACTTAAAACCATTATCATAGTGTTTATCATGCGAATGAAGACATGCTTATTTATTCATAGTGGCAGGGCCAGTTTTCTATCTATTGAGTTTATACCCTACCAATATTTTTCTATACATACAAATTAAGTTCCCTTTAAAAGTTAATACTATTTGAGCATATATTTTATATTTTATCATGATCATTTTCCGAAAGTATTATACTCATCTCCATCATAATGTTAATGACTGCACAGCATTTTGTACAGACATGCACCATCATTTATCATTTCCTTATTCATATTTTCCTCTATGATTTTCTTTCTCTCTGAGGTTAAATTCTAGCTATGTTTGGCACTAAAGTACTGTAATAACATAAGTTACTTTTATTATGCACCTCATTTTCTATGTGTTGGAATTTTAAATGGCACATGCTCCTTTTTTTGGGAAATACCAATGGGAGAAGTAAAATTTACCAACGCTTTTTCTATTAGTAGAAGAAAAACTGAAGATGAAATACAGTCATGCATCATTTAATGATGGGGATTCAGTCTGAGAAATACCTCATTAGGCAATTTCACTGTTATTCCCATAAGACCATGATATAAGTACATCATAGAATGTACTTACACAAACCTAAATGGTATAGCCTATTGCTCCAGGCTACATACTTGTGCAGCATGTTACTGTACCGAATACTGTAGGCAACTGTAACAAAATGGTATTTGTATATCTAAACATATCTAAAAAAATTAGTAAAAATATAGTATGGGGCCACTATCATACATGTGGTCCAAAATTAATTGAAATGTTGTTATGTGGTGCATGACTATAATTAAAGATATTCTGGTGCAGTGTCATTAGAGAGAGGGGTGGTCTAGGGTTAGTCTAGAGCCCCAAAGGGACATCAACTGAGGCTAGCACAAAATAGCGATGTACCTCTGATTTATTCTATGAGGGATACAGAATTGGCCAAGGTAAATGGGCCAATTTTCTTTTTTGGTGTATAGTTCCATGAAATTTTTCCAGCTTTATAGAGGTATAATTAACAAATACAGATCATATATACCCAAAACACACAATTGGATGCTTCGATATATGCATAGTATGGGCTCAGTGAATAGTTCTAAGGGTAAGGCTGAAACTGAATGGAGATAATAAAACACAAGACAGGAGAGGAGGAAAATAGCAGAATTTGCATTGATTTATTTGAATTTTTCTCTATTTTCTGATTTTATCTTTATGTAACTAAGTGATAGCTAGATTAACAACACCCTCTGAGAACAAAGTTCCTATTTAAAAAGGCTAACAGACCCAGGGAGGAGTAGGAGACTTCAACGTGTCCTCAATTTCACGACGTTTAAGGGTAACTTGGTGCCTTGAGATATTCTAGCTACTTGCGTGCACTCACAATCCACAGGGGGATACTGGCCCAGAGTACTGGATGTGGTGCTTATGAAATGATGAGGGAGGAGCTGCTCTCCCTCCCAGTGAAGGTGGGAAGGAAGGCCATGTTCAAGTGGGAAGGGGTGGAAATTCACATCTTGGAAAGTAACTGCATTGCCTCTCTCCATGTGGCAGCAATTTGTGGAAACAAAGCACGCCGCTGGGATGGATTCCTGCTGTTATTTTAACTATAATCAATTTTATAGGAAAATTATCATTTGAAGAAGTTTGAGGACATGTTTTATACTGTTGCAATCCCATATCACATGACTGGCCACTTGCTACTTGGTAAAATAGACAATAAGTGAAAGAGATGAACTGACAATTCCACTCCAGCTGCATTCCCCAGTGTTACGTAGTGCAGGAATCTTTCCACTTCTCCACCCTCTCACGGAGGCTGTATGCAATCTCATCTCACTCTGTCTAATAGGTGGAGACCGTACTGCCTTTCAGCACAGCATCGACGTCAAGTCCAAGGAAAGTCTGTATTTTCTCCAGTGTTCTGCTTTATACTGTGTATTCACTTTTATAGAAATTTTGTTCCGATACAATCTAAAAGCTTGGTATGGACTTTTGGGCAATGTAATATTAGAGAAGTAAACTTGCTCTGTAATTGATTCTCATGTATATTAAATTCTAGCAGAAGTTTGAGTAAAAGGACCTGATATCCCCAGCAGAATCACAACTGAGTCCATAAAGAACCCTTTGGTTTAAACAGAAATGAGAAAGCATTGTTAAGAGGGGAAAGCTTCAGAAATTTTATAGGTATCTTTACTTCATTTTCTTCCAACATTGGTCATTATTTTTAAATTAAATTTGTATATGTGGGGTTTTCTTCTGAACAATAAATGCTGGCAAAAATATCAGATTTGTGGAAACATTAAAGAAACTAATGTCAAAAGTACCATTTATCACAAATACTAATAGGGTGATGCATATCCGGCCTCTATGTGTAGATTGTGAAATGAGTGATATTTTATCCTTCTATCCACCATTACACTTAGCAGCAAAATATAAAGAAACTCAACATCTAGAACACATATCCAAACTTGTAGAAACTGTTTTTGTCTAGTATTTGTTTCCATGAAGACACGGACCAGGGAAATGGGCAGATACTCTCCGTACAGCCCCACTTCAAGGTCCTCAGGTTTTCTTTGCAACTGCATATACACCTAAGTCATACAACAGTGCTTATTTTTATAGCTGTTTACCTAGTCACCATTTCTTTCTCTTTGTTGGAAGCATGTCCTCCAGAGCAGAGAGGTCTGCTTGCTGCAGATAAGAAGTATAAACGATGGTTTTTGAAATACTGATCAATTAAAGGAAGAACGACCTGAAAGAAAGGAAAAGAAGACAGATCTACGTAGTGGAATCTTTCAGGGGATGAATGGGAGCTGAGGCTTTGGAGCAGTCAGAGTTCTGTTCACATGCAACAGGTCTCCTTATGTCCATGCCAGGCACGTCATAGTATGCCTCTCTTAAATCTCACTCTACCGTCTCCAGCCACAGTGGCAGGATGTGATTATGGTGAACAGAGCAAACTTGCAACAGTTTGGAATTATTCTCACTATTTTCTCAAAATGAAATATTCTCAATGTTTTCATATAACATAGTTCAGTGCCCAGCAGACCCCAAAATAATCCATAACTACCATATGTTGAGTCTCTACTATGTGTGAACATTGCAACTGATAATAGCAACTGCTCTGTAGGGTAGATGCCATCATCCCTGCATTATGGGTATTAAATGGAGACATAGAAATGTGTGACTTACCGAAGGTCACATTGCTACTTAGTTGCCTACACAATATTCTTTTAACCTGGCCTTTCTTAAAGTGCACTTTCCATTTCTACGCATGTTTCATCCTGCTGGCCTTGGGCCAATTCCTCCTCCTCACTCTGTCCACTCACATCACCTGGCCTCGTACACGCCATTCCCTCTGTCTGGCGTGCTCTTCCCATACTCCATATCCTATTCACTCTGGTCCTCCTGTAGATCTCAACTCAGTGGCAATTTGCCGGCTAAGTCTTTGCTGATCTCAACTAGATAAAGTCCCACATTCTGAGCTCTGATAACATCATTTGCAATTTTACATTGTATGCGTGGGACTTTGGATTAAAGTCTCTCTTTCCAGGAGCCTATGAGTTACACAAAAACAAGAAACATTTCTGGGTTTGTTTCCCATTATAGCCCTTTCCTGGCCTCCAGAACTATTAACTGGTCTCTTCTGTTTGTCACTGAATCCCTAGTGCTAAGGACTGTGACGGGCCCATAGCAAGAACAAGATCGGCACTACCAGTATTCAAACTCATGTCTATCTAAACATACTTCTTTTTCCTACCATGTGGTAGAGCACAGCTATATATAATGGGGACTACACCAGTTTTTATTGCTCTTCCTTGACAATTGGGACATTGCTTGAATTTAGTGACTGGAACATAGTAGGTACTCAATATGGTAAACGAATGAATTATAGACTTAGTAGAAATTAAGCCACATTAAGCATCTGTAAACAGATGCACCGGGGGTGCTGAGTATACGGGCAACACAAGAATGTATTTTAAAGGGAAAATTAGAGGCTGCGAATACAGCATTCTGATAATTGGCTATCAAGAAAGATTACAATCTCACAGAGACCGGAGATATATATATGGATCTATCAATTCATGAATCGCTAACTATGTGCACCCCAGGACAAACTTTGGATCTTCAAATGATTGGAACAGACTCTGAGTGCTATATTGAATGGGAAGAAAAGACAACAGAAATGTGTTTTACAGTAAAGAACACAATTTTGAAAACATACTACAAGTCAAATATTCATCAATCAAAAAGCATGCTATTTTAAAGTCCACAAAAGTTGTATTTATAGCAAATTATCTGTAATCGCTGAATGCAAGTACTTTAAAAGGAAGCAGACAGCAGTAATTAGGTCTTCAGGCTCACTGCAAGGTGTCCTAAACAAGAAAGCTTACCCAGGGGCATTTGTATATTCATGGCCATCCCTGGGCCATACCCTAATGCCTGACCCACACTAGACACACAGTAAATACTAAGTAAATGCATTAAATCATTCGGAGACTTTACAACTCTTCATGTCCATCCCTTTTTGGCTGAAAAAAGTGATGAATTTTCCAGTAATATAGCAAATTCCTGATAAATGCTTATGAAACAAAATAAATAATACCAATGGGATATATTTTGTATATAAACAATTTATCCTCTCTGATCTTCCATAAAATGAGCAGGACTAAGGTCCCACAATATTCTGTACTAAATGTTCTTATAATGTGCCTATTTATGAATTAACTCAGACTTTCCTATTTATAAAAGAAATTCTCAACTAGAAATTTTAAATCATAACAATATCCAAATGTTAAGAAATAGATATTTTTTATTCCATATCATATGATAAAACAAAAAAAATGCAGACCTAATTAAACCTCAGATAGAATGAAGTCATTTGAAGAAGGAATGCGGTAGGGAATGCAGAGTTAAAGTCTGACCAAGAATGCTGGGAAGATGATTCATGCAGTTATTTTCATGCCACAGAATATTTACGTGCAGTAAAATACACATTTGTAGACAAGTATGTTCTGAAAAGGGCAACGATCTAATGAGTAGGGTATGTAAACAAACATATTGAAGCAAAAACAAGATAGATTGTATACTGTACTTTTGCAAAGAACTTGATTTCTTGTTCATAAGGGAAATGTTCTCCTTTGCCTCTGCTGCCACCATCTGTAGATTTGAAGAGTTTTTAGGTAAATGCTGCACTGGAAACATTGCAAGATATTCATCCATAATGCAAAGGTTAGAAAGCATTGCTAAATGTATTATCCCGCTAAACTGAATGTAAAAAGCCAACCAAAAATATAAAGGCAAACTTTGGCAGTGTCATTAAAAATAAAAGGATGTTTAATACCCAAATCTAAATTTAAAAAGCTATTGAGGACAGCCCATAGTTGTGGTTAGAGACACAAACACATTTGTGTAGCTTTGAGATCTTATTGACATAGAGAGGGGAAAATGGAATAGAATAGAGTAAAAGTCCCACATTTTCAGTAGCCTTTAAGAAAAGAAGCTCACTGGGGAAGAGGACAGTGAGTGTAAATTGAATAAACATAATTGGCTAGATATTAACCCTGGCCTCTAATAATAAAGATTGCCTCTTCGTGTGACCGAAAGTTAAAGCTTCTCAATTTAAGACACAAACTAAAAAACTGCAGGAAGTCAGGATCTGGGATGAGGAGGAGGACAGCAATTTTAATATTAGGTTGGCAAATTAGCATTCCACTAAAGCATAAAGAAATTTTGACCTATGTCAAAAGATAATTTTCATAAGTGAAGCAAAAACACCCAAGTTTTCCCCATGGTTTACCAAGGTCAAGAATTGATTAACCTAATTCATTTAGCTTAGAAGGTGGCCTTTCTCACCTCCTTCATGCATATGGAAAAGGTTCATGCATATATTAATAGACGAGGTAATAATCAACTATAATAACAACGATGGCATGCAGAACATATTGGAGAGCTATCAGGTTTTAGTAAAATTTGTAAGCAGAGCTTCCAGATATTCAAGAGCCAAGCTGACTTTTGCTTGAAGAAGTTATTTTGCAAAATAATATAATAATAATAACTTGAGATAATAGTTTATCAAATTTTAGACAAAAATACAATATAATTTATAGGAAACTTATGCAATTATTTTGCAATATCAGAATGCTCTCCCCATGAACAAGTAAAAGAAAATTATGGTTTTTTAACACTTGCAAATTTCATTTGCATGGCACTTTGGCATTTGAATCTCTCTTAAGCACATTATGCAAAATGGCTGGATTCATATAAGAGACTTTCTCATATGAAGTTATGTCAAGAGAAAATTTTGAACACAGCCAAATCTGCTCATATTTCAATGAATTAAATAGGAAATGTCTTTTACTACATTTAAAAAAAATGCTTCTGTGCAAAATGTGAAAAAGATGTGGAGAGATTACAATCTACGGTATTATACAACAATTAGAAAAAGGCATATGCATATTTTTACTACCACAATTAACTTAGGTCTAGGAATGGCTACATTAGAGATATGCTGCAAAATCTCCAAAGTGAAGGATAAAGGGAGAAGGCAATATAGCAGTTTCACTTGCGATAACAATGAAAGATGGAAATTAAAATAAACACGATATTGACAATCACAGCTCTATCTGCTCCTCTAACAGAGTTCTTGTACCTAATTTGCCCTGGCCAAGCCATCTGAAAACGGTACACACAACATCAGGAGTTGTGAAAAAGGTTATTTGGCTGGGCTCTGTCATTGTAGCCTACTTTCTCTCCTGTGCTCTGTTTATAAGGCCCTCTACCCTGTGGATAGAATGAAATGTGTCAAGTGGGTAGATGTACCCTGGAGCAAGATTCTCCCCACCCCCATACAAGAAAACTGTAGTAGGTAGTTTATTCAGAAATTTGAATAAACTGTGAATAATACCTAAATACATTTCTTCCCTTCATATTGGTGTTTGTGTTCTCCAATGTGAAAGTAAAAAACAAATGACTTTCTTGTTCCTTTCTCCAAATGATGACTCTTTCTTTCTCTCCTGTCCCTTGTTTCTCCAAAAACAAGACTGGATATTGGAGTTGCTACGCATATCGGATCCTTTCAAATGTAGATCAGAAATTGCAATATTTAGCTTTGTGTGTAAAAGCTTCAATAATTCACCCCTACCTCATTTTTGTTCTTCGGTTAAATTTCATTAATTCAGATTAATTTGGCTACGTATCAGGATAAGTCAGGAATCATATTTTTAAAAATTGTTAGTTATATGAGTCATAGAGAGATTACAGATTATAAATTAGCTTGTAGTGTAAGCTTTTAAGAAAAAGAAGGGCTCAAAGAGAGCAATAATATAGTATTTGAACTGTAGAGGCAGGCTGAAAGAGAAGTCAATTGTTTATGAGAAAGATGCTCAATTGGAAAATCTTTAATCACATTTAGGATACAAGAGGCCAGAAAGAAGAAAATACCAGAGCTCTAATTTCTACAAACTTTAATCTGATGCTATGGCAGAAACTAGATTTACATCCTAAGACAAACAGCAGCTAAGGGATCCAAGATGAATGGTCCCAGAGGAAAGGTGTTGAATGACAAAAGGAGTGAGTGTTAAAAACAAAGAGAAAACGTCGAGAACGAAAATGAAAATAAATGAATAACCACCAGAAAAGCACACTATTTTCAAAAGGGAACAAACTGGAATTCCTTACATCGTATTACTACGCAGTGGCTGGAAGGTGCTCTGACATTAAGGTAAGAAATTAACAAGTCGAATTTTAATTCAACAATGTGGGAGGACCACAAAATAACAGAAGTGACCGGAGGCTGCTTTCATCATCTGTGCTGAATCTAAGACTTAAAGAATGAGGTTTTAAAAATTTTGAGACAGCACTGGGCCAGACGGGGAAGAGGTCTTTCATTGTACCCTAAGAGCAATAATAAAGTATTCTGCACAGCAGTTACTCTAGTATTAACGTGTTTCCCTGCAAAGGCTAAACTCAAGACCTCTATAGTGTTTAGAAATTTTGAAAATCCATAGTTTTGGAAGTTTTTCTTATGAGTAGAGCAACTGATTTCATAGGCGAGATTTAACTCTACCTTCAAATTCTGATGTCCTTCCAATGTATCTTTCAAAATGAAAACAAATAAATGCCAATAAACATTATAAGGGGAATAACTTATATGTTAGATTTTTAAAAGTTCACAGATTTTACCCACTCCCCAAGAACTTGTTCATCCATTGACCGTTGAACTCTACTTAGTAGTAGGATGAATAGATGGGTTTATACCATCACAAATAGCTCAGCAGCCTGTGTTGTTCTATATCCTGATGTTGTAAACATTAAAAACAACAAACACTGGGCTATTAGCAATGGGACTATGGTACCTACCAAACTCCAGGATATACTGATGGGCTTCATCCACATAGCGAATGAGTTGTTGGAGGAAACTATAGGCAAATCGTTTCTCAATAGAAGGCGTGTCCAGTTCCAGGTCCTTAAATCCTCTGGAAGAGCAAAAATGAAAATGGGAAAGCAATTTGTACAAAGCCTCTTAGAAGGTAAAATTGTGTGTGTGTATATATATATGTGTATATACATACATATATGTTTATCTATATATATAAATTTTGAAGTTTTTCTAATGTTATTGTAGCTCAAAGAAAAAGTAAGATTTAACCTATAAAGAATATTTTGCATATGATATAAAGCTTCAGTGAGTGACTCTCTTACTATGCAACGAAGTGTTGCATTTACAAAAACAGAGTGTGATTTTTTGCCTGGGGATTTTGCCTAAATGATGGATGCTGATTTAATATATGTAGCAAAAGGAACTCAGTTATATGGTACACAGCTAGGGGTGTTAATGTTTCTGATGTGTGTATTTTAAACATATTAAACAGTACCTCAAAAGTGTAAACAGATCATTGAATTCATTTTCAGCTTTAAATATGATGGAGATATTTAAATATTCACTCTTGTGAAAAGAGTGTGTACTTAGGGTATGTGTACTTTTACCTGGATACAGCATATCCATTGATCTGCAAGAACTTGAGGATGTCCTGTGCTTTTTCTCTATCCTTGGCTTTCTCTTTGGCTGTCAGTGTATCATAGGGCACCAGCAGAGGATGGTTTCCTCCTCCTAAGAGTATGTCAGGACAAGAACACAGCATAGTAATTTGAAAAGAATCTGAGATGAGACACAGATATATAATTGGACCACACTATAAAACTTTCCATATCCTTTAATAATACATAGAGCATATAAGACTCTTCTGCCTCTACTGCCTTTAATGTTTCAATTAATTCAGAAAAACTACTCACAGAAAGACTGTGCATATGCCTTCTAAGAGGCAGTTAAAACATGAACATGCATGCATTTGTAATACTAAGTGACAATAATATCTGCACTCGCCAATGAGAGGGAAGCAGCTGTATTCTCTTCTGCGTTCAAAGCAATTCTGAATGTGGAGAGTAGAAACAAATGCTAAATCATACTTAGCTGGATTTAGAAAAGTTATAAGGCATGTTTCAGGGGTTATGCTTCATCTGCTGTCGCACAGAGAGAAGAGAAAAAGTCTTAAATATGGAATTTGTATTATATCTCTCAGATCAGAGAGTACTTCATAGTCACATTATTTATAAATACACAAAACCATATGTAGATGTGCTACATTAAAAGTGGATCACTCTTAAGTGTCTAATACTTGACTTTAAACCACGTGGGCAAGTACATTTTAGCAAGAGTCTAGATTCCTAGTATACTTATCCTGATAATACTTACTAAAAGTAGTCTTTCTTTCAGATTTAAAAATTCTAGAAAATATGTAAATTTAAAAAAACTAATAGGGAGAAAAACCTTTCTAAAATTATAAATTATGTAAAAATTTTGGTTAAAATTTTGCAAAAATTATAAAAAAATTAAACTGTTAATTTCAGATGTAAAGATCTGATACAAAGAATGCTATTAAAACAGCAGCAAACCGAATAGCATGGTATGCCTCACATCTAACATTCGTAAAACATGTGTGGTAATATATATTGTGTGAGAGGCTCAACTACCCTGAAATACAACTGCTAAGGGAATTCCAGGAAGAATAATTGAGAATAAATATTGTTTGAATTGTAACAACATAACCCTATGAAATCAGTTTCCAATATAGTTTAGCCAGGAGCTACTGCAACAATCACAAATGTTGAATTAGCCCTACACAATAAATAAGCAAGCAAAGGAGGAAATGTCTGCTTCCCTAGTGCTGGCTTTGACTGAAAGCGCCATCTACAGACATGCAATCGCCCACTGAACTTTAATACCATTAGGTGACACTGTGCTATCATACATGGAAGGTGCTGGTCAAGAACTACCAAGCTAACAAATACTAACCATAATAAGGAATTCAGGTACTTCACAGTATATTAATAATATCAAGCACAAACAGTTGTCAGAAGACAATAATAACAAACACTTGTGAACAGCAGAGGGTATAGAATATGTTACTAAGTTTAGTAGAAACCAAATTTGACTTTTGTCCTAATCAAAGATATAATTAAACAGGACACTTTATAAGGATACTATAATTAACAACAATTTATTATATATTTTCAAATAGCTACAAGAGCAGTTTTTGAATGCTCCCAACACAAAGAAATATAAATGTTTGAGGTGATGGGTTGGCTAATTACCCTGATTTGATCATTACACATTGTATACATGTATGCAAATATCACACTGTACCTCATATAGACAATTATGTATCAGTTAAAAATAAAAGCAAAAATCTTTTTAAAATCAAGGATTGAATTCCATCACCCTAATTTAATCAACCATCACCTAGTTTGAACTCCATCACTGCATTTAGTCCCAGAGAATGCTATTAATTTGGCAACTTAATTTGTAATCAGTGATTTTGGGGCCGCATACCAATAAGTTACTGTGGGGGAAGTGGGGAGAGAAAGAGAAAGATGCTTTAAAGAGGTCTATAATTTAAAAATCCTAAGAATGCAAAGTACCCACTAACTCTGAAACTCTTCTCACCCTCTTCGACCTTCATTGAACTAGATGGCGAAGGGATCTGAAAGCCTGCCAGGTGACTGAACTAGCACTGTGCCTCTAACTAGCAGTGTGACCGTGGACATTTACGTTGCTCCTCCACCCTCAACTTTCCCATTTATGATATGGGTGTAGACATCTTGTGCTGAAGGAAATCAGCTACATGGAGAGGTAAATGAGTGAGCAGTAACTCTGAGGATATTACCAAACATACCAGCACGGACTCATGAACCCATTCATACTAAACAGTAAAAAAATGCTTGACAGCAGTGGGCTGTCTGTGGCTTAACAACAGATGACCATGGTACAAAATACTTGAAGTGGCAGTGGGAAAATAACATTTTTTACTAATTTGGGGGCACTAATCATACTTTTTGGACTTACACTCCTTTATTTCTATTAACTCCTTATGGCATCTGATTTTCCCTCAGACTTTTCTAGATTCCAAAAGAGCACTGAGGATCAGATGACTAAGGCAAGCAAAGGAGGCATTTTTCTCCTGATTTCCCTAAAGCAGATTCATCTTCTCTGCACAGATGCAGGGATGATAAAAGAGAAGAGAATGGGTGAAAACAAAACTGTGCAGCTTTGGCCCTGATTCTTTTAGTGTTTCTGACTTCTTATTTCTATTTCTCTCTCTCTCACACGCACACACACACACACACACGCACACACACACACACACCCAGGCACCAAGACATCAGGTGGTGACAGATTCCTCCCACCTACCTCTTATCGGCAGTGGGAGTAGAGCTGGCAGGATGCAACTGCCTACAACTGTTGGCTATAAGGATCCTCCCCACTATTAATGTCTCTGAGTGAGAAAACAACTTTGAAAAAAAGACACATGTCGTTTCTGCTCTGAAACTGGCCACAGTCTGTAACCTATCTTCTATGCCCAAGACTCATTTCTCTGGTTTGCTAATCTCAATAACCTAAAAGCCAGGATCCTGACTGTATAGTTCAACACGTTTCCTACTGGTCTGCCATTTTGGTTCTAAACTAGTTCCTCTTTAAAAATGAGATCCATACATGCAGTAAGAGAATTAAAGACTGCGAGGACTAATTTCCCCTACCTCACCACTTAGTCTGCTGCCACTAGGTTAGTTTCCCAACTACAGAATACAAATTTGAGCCAGTACAAGTTGTATGCAGAAGTATGGATGTGCCATTTACGAGTGGTATGACTTAAAGAAAATATCGATCTGGCTCAGAAATTTAAATAATGATGATTTTCTATCATGCTTATTTAGAAAAGCATATAGGTTGAATAGGTCTAATCTAAAAATCTGAAATCCAAATGTTCCAAAATCAGAAACTTTTTGAGTATCTACATGATGCTCAAAGGAAACACTTATTGGAGCATTTAAGCTTTTGGATTTGGGATTTGGGATGCTGAACCAGTAAGTATATGCAAATATTTAAAAAATCAGAAAAAAATCTCAACTTTCAAACAGTTTTGGTTCCAAACATTTTGGATAAGGGATAATCAACCTGTAATAAGATAGCTGCTTATTATTTTTAATTTAACTGTACCACAGTGACTTAAACATAGTTTAAAAAAAGGAACAGACATTTTTTCATGTAATCTGCTCATGTAATAAGCAGTGATTTTGTTTACCAGTTATGTGGGCAATACCCTGTCAAGAATTTCACAAAACAAAACTCTATGACTCATTTGCCATCCATCCATTCATCCATGCATCCATGAGCCAAACAATGAATTAATCATTCATTTAACAAACATTTATGGGGTGGTTTTAGAATACAGGCATATTATCCCTGAGCAGCATTTTGAAATAGGCAATTAAAAATGTGGAATCTTCTCCCTCTCCCTCTCCCTCTCCCGTCTCCCTCTCCCTCTCCCTCTCCCTCTCCAGTCTCCCTCTCCCCACAGTCTCCCTCTCCCCACGGTCTCCCTCTGATGCCGAGCCGAAGCTGGACTGTACAGCTGCCATCTCGGCTCACTGCAACCTCCCTGCCTGATTCTCCTGCCTCAGCCTGCCGAGTGCCTGCGATTGCAGGCGCGCGCCGCCACGCCTGACTGGTTTTCGTATTTTTTTGGTGGAGACGGGGTTTCGCTGTGTTGGCCAGGCCGGTCTCCAGCCCCTAACCGCAAGTGATCCGCCAGCCTCGGCCTCTGGAGGTGCCAGGATTGCAGACGGAGTCTCGTTCACTCAGTGCTCAATGGTGCCCAGGCTGGAGTGCAGTGGCGTGATCTCGGCTCGCTACAACCTCCACCTCCCAGCCGCCTGCCTTGGCCTCCCAAAATGCCGAGATTGCAGCCTCTGCCCGGCCGCCACCCCGTCTGGGAAGTGAGGAGCGTCTCTGCCTGGCCGCCCATCATCTGGGATGTGAGGAGCCCCTCTGCCTGGCTGCCCAGTCTGGAAAGTGAGGAGCGTCTCTGCCCGGCCGCCATCCCATCTAGGAAGTGAGGAGCGCCTCTTCCCAGCCGCCATCACATCTAGGAAGTGAGGAGCGTCTCTGCCCGGCCGCCCATCCTCTGAGATGTGGGGACCGCCTCTGCCCTGCCGCCCCGTCTGGGATGTGAGGAGCGTCTCTGCCCGGCCGCCCCGTCTGAGAAGTGAGGAGACCCTCTGCCTGGCAACTGCCCCGTCTGAGAAGTGAGGAGCCCCTCCGCCCGGCAGCCGCCCCGTGCGGGAGGGAGGTGGGGGGGGTCAGCCCCCCGCCCGGCCAGCCGCCCCGTCCGGGAGGTGAGGGGCGCCTCTGCCCGGCCGCCCCTACTGGGAAGTGAGGAGCCCCTCTGCCAGGCCACCACCCCGTCTGGGAGGTGTACCCAACAGCTCATTGAGAACGGGCCATGATGACAATGGCGGTTTTGTGGAATAGAGAGGGGGGAAAGGTGGGGAAAAGATTGAGAAATCAGATGGTTGCCGTGTCTGTGTAGAAAGAAGTATACATGGGAGACTTTTCATTTTGTTCTGTACTAAGAAAAATTCTTCTGCCTTGGGATCCTGTTGATCTGTGACCTTACCCCCAACCCTGTGCTCTCTGAAACATGTATTGTGTCCACTCAGGGTTAAATGGATTAAGGACGGTGCAAGATGTGCTTTGTTAAACAGATGCTTGAAGGCAGCATGCTCGTTAAGAGTCATCACCACTCCCTAATCTCAAGTACCCAGGGACACAAACACTGCGGAAGGCCGCAGGGTCCTCTGCCTAGGAAAACCAGAGACCTTTGTTCACTTGTTTATCTGCTGACCTTCCCTCCACTATTGTCCTATGACCCTGCCAAATCCCCCTCTGCGAGAAACACCCAAGAATGATCAATAAAAAATAAAAAAAATAAAAAATAAAATGTGGAATCTTCTCTTTTCCTCTCTGTGACCAATCCTAATTTGTGTTACTCTGTTTCCTAGTGCTTGGTGCCAGGTACCATCCTTCCATATCACAGCTTTACCTTTCACCATGAAATATCCCCACTTTCAAAATCTTCTCCCCTTCTACATTTTCACCTAGTCAAATAAATAAAAAGTAGAAGCTTTATTGGCACCTGTAACTATACAATAAGGATTACAAAAGAAATAAATGTTGTGGCCCTGAGCTCGAAAATAGTATATTCCTATCAGGGGAAAGAAAACCATATAGGAAGTCATTAACGACAGCGCATATGCGCGCACACACACAGACACCACATTATAAACAATATGTGTATAGACTAACGGCAAATAAATAATGTTGAAAGATATCATCAGCATAGCATACGTTAAACTGAAGAAAATATGCAAATAAATTTTAAAAGACTTGAGAAATAACTAAGAGAACATTAGTTCATTTAGTATTTGAATAAAAAAACGGGAAAAGTGCAAGCAAAAGCATGTAAGAGACAGTAACATAGCTGGACCAGACAAAAGAGGCTGAGATAGGAAATAAAAAGGGGTGAGATAGGAGATATTTAAGTTGGGGAAGAGAGTCAGGGAGGGAAGTCTAAGTCATTCATAGAACAACTCAGATATCAGGATGAGAAGTACAGAAGTCTGTAAGCTAAAATGGGTAAAAGAAAGCTGTCAAAATTCTGAGACACAAGAAAATATATACTAGCCACTAGGAAATTACAGCATTTCCAACTTCAATCTGTTACAGGCACAATTAAACCGTTCTGATTTTAAAAAGTTATAATAAGCTGTTGTGCTGAAGACGACTTCATCCATACACTCATGGAATTGAGCTCAGATTATTTTTTAATAAACGTTTTTAGAAAATATTACCTTTGGACTCCAACTCCATTTTCTTTTTCTTTGCCCATATATTATGGTAGTTTTCAGCCATCATTTCTGCCATAGCCTTAAATGAACAAAAATATTTATCGTTTCAATAAGTAAAAAAGGATAATATTGCTTTCTAATATATAATATTAGATACCGTAAAGGAATAACTCATACAGTATTAGTGCTATGATACATTTAAAAGATATCAAACACTCTTCTTTAGAATGTGAATCCCAGAGAATTGTAAGGATTTGCAATATTATACAGTAACTAAACAGCAAATGAAAATGGTCATTGTTATTCATAATGTTTGAAGACATTAATTCAATAATGAAACCAAAATAGCTATGGACTTCAGAAAAACTATTTGTATTTACAAGTTCTTGTTTTAATTTCCAAAGCCTTAAAAATGACCTAAACCTTATGCAACTTGAATATGGAGAATGTTAGATGGACAGTCAAAGATTTGATTTCTAAATCAATCTCTGTCCAAACTAGGTGAGAGACCTTAGACTAGCCAAGTTAATCTTTCTGTGACCTTTTGGGTTTTGATAAGATTACCTCCCGGATTCTTTCTACATTTGATTTTCAAGTTTACTGTGTCATTTTAATACGTTCATATGGGAGCAATAACAAATGGCAAACCAAACAATTTAACAATATGTAAATTTTATATTTACGGTCCTTATTTCTCTTGGAACAATACAGTTACCAACAATGCTAATATGTTATTTGAACACCATATTGACCTATTAACTTTATGTCTCAAGGCAATAAATTTTATCTTACTTTCAAATCTGCTATTTCAAAGTAGGTTCCTTGGTGACAAAAAAGAACAGATGAGACTATGAATGGAGCAAGCAAATGCAATCAATGTCTCTGGAAAAACTTAAAAGAAGGTGGCCCTTGCACAGAGCATTATTAACTATTTACTTTCTTCTCACACACAACTATTTAACATAGAGATTTTTAAATGGCTATTAAAGGAAAATATGTTATACGGCTGAAACACCCTAGAAAAAGTTGTATCAACTTTTTTTTTTTTCTTTGAGAGGGAGTCTCACTCTGTCACTCAGGCTGGAGTGCAGTGGTGTGATCTCAGCTCACTGCAACCTCTGCCTCCCAGGTCCAAGCGATTCTCCTGCCTCAGCTTCCCAAGTAGCTGGGACTATAGGCACGTGCCACCACACCCAGCTATCAATTTTGATAGCATTAAAAAATTAGAGTATATAATCTATAAATTCCATGGATCCATTATAGATCGCCACATTCAAATAAACCATGCTGCCAAATATATGCAGGAAAGCATTACATTATGCTTCTTAAAAATTAAATTTGGAGACTATTTTTAAAAGTTAATAGTACTTACATGCAGGTCTCTAGATAGTGTAACATTGCTCATGTCAATGGCCCGGGGACTGTAACCATGGGCAGCGTCCACAGAAACCTAGATCATTTGTGTGAAAAAACAGTGCCTCATTAAAAACCTTGTGAAGAGAGACTTAACTTATACTTTAAAAATATGGCACAAATTTCCAAACATAGTGTTTCCTTAGATAAAACTGGCAAGTTTCTATACAAAATGATGTTGTAAACACATCTCGCACATTAAAATTATATTTGGGTGTCTGAAAATGATTTATGATTGATAATTCTGAAAATTGCCTATCGGAATTTGATGTATTGTGCAATGAATCCAAAATTCTGAAACATTATCTTATGCAGAGGATCATTACATTTTTGAGTTTCTTACAAATCCAAATTGGCTGCAATGAAATTTACTCTTCCTCACGCAAGCAAGAGTTAATCAAAGACGTCAATATTTACAAATGTCTTGATGGGTCAAATGTTAGGATAAAGTATAACCAACTTTTAAATTATCATAGTATATCATATAGTATTCAGCAATGCACTTGGAAATCCTCGAGGAAGAGACTTCTTTAATTTCTGAATTAAAGCTTTTAAAAAATGAAATATACCTCTTTATCAATTTTAAGGAAGTTTCACTAACCATCCTGGGCACTTACCTCCTTCCACCCAATGGCATGTTATGTGAAAGTGTACCACAGAAATGAGCTCTGGTTCCTGCTTATAAATCTAAAACTATATCTTGATATTTTCCATAATTATGTATATTCTCTCATTAAAAATGCCCAAAAAGCAAACTAAAAACAAAATGAAAATATAGCTCATTATCATGCTTGTGAAATAAAAGTGAGTGTTACATATGCTATAACTAATAACAGGCTCATGAGCGATACTTAACTTACGGGTCAGTTTTGACAGCACCCTGGCTTCTGTGCCTTTCACCATGAGGACACTGTTCAAACCTTGTTCAAAGAAGGCAAACACCATGGTGGAATGAATCCAGCTTTCTCTGTACCTCACTGCTGTTTTTTGAGCATCCCGTTTTATCTATAAACATTATCCAGCCGCAGGGCAGCCCCAAACTCTCACTGAACCTGTCCTGGTTTCAGGGACTGCCACTGGTTCTTTGTTCAATTAAACTCTGTTAAATTTAATTTGTCTGAAGTTTTCCTTTTTTTTTTTTTTTTTTTTTTGAGACAGAGTCTCGCTCTGTCACCAGGCTGGAGTGCAGTGGCACGATCTTGACTCGCTGCAACCTCTGCCTCCCAGGTTCAAGCGATTCTCCTGCCTCAGCCTCCCGAGTAGCTGGGATTACAGGCACGCATCTCTGTCACCAGCTAATTTTCATATTTTTAGTAGAGACGGGGTTTCACCATATTGGGCAGGATGGTCTCAAACTCCTGACCTTGTGATCCACCCGCCTCGGCCTCCCAAAGTGCTGGGATTACAGGTGTGAGCCACCATGCCCGGCCTGGAGTTTTTCTTTTAATATGCTAAATAGGCCACCAGCCTCAAAGGTTGGTATGAAACTAGGTAATGGATGTAAAATCCTTAGCAAAGTGCCTGACACAAAGAAATGGATCAGGAATTTTAGTAAATGGCTATTCTCATTGTTAGTATACTATCATTATCACTACTACCACCATAACTGCTATCAACACCATAGTTCCCATACAGTTGTAGTGAGGAGTGGGTGAACATATTTGGGAGTCATAATTTTGCCCACCACAACATATAAAATCAAAGTCATTATTCTCTCCTTGCTGTCCCCAGCACTCCTATGGTCTTTACCTCACCTAACACAGCTATTGATTTGGGGACACAAGCTAGAATCCATGGCAACCATCTCGGGTTACTCCCCTTCATCCATTATTATGTCTATGTCCCCACCCAAATCTCCTCTTGAATTGTAGCTCCCATAATTCCCTCATATTGTCGGGGGTACCCAGTGGGAGATAACTGAATCATAGGGGCATTTTCCTCCATACTGTTCTTGTGGTAGTGAATAAGTCTCACAAGATCTGGTGGTTTCATAAGGGGAAACCCCTCTCACTTGGTTCCTCATTCTTCTCGTCTACCACCATGTGAGATGTGCCTGTTACCTTCCACCATGAGTGTGAGGCCTCCGCAGCCACGTGGAACTGTGAGTCCATTGAACCTCTTTCTTTTGAAATTTGCCCAGTTTCAAGTATGTTGTTTATTTCCCCCATTAGAATGTAAGCTCCTTGACAGCAGAGATTTTTTTCCATTTCATCACTGATCTATTTGAAAAGCTTAGAACAATGCAGCATACATAATAGGTGCTCAATAAGTATCTGTTGAAGGAATGAATGCACCATTCCTCTATCCTATCTTGTATTTTAGTTCTAGATAAGAAACACATTCCAAAAGTTTCATTCTAATCTCCATTCCCCTTCCGGGTTATAAGCTTATTTTTCATTTGTTTTAAATAGTTTTTGTCCTACATGTGTAGTACTGAAAAACAGATACAAGGTAAGAAATTGGAATTTGGGAGTAAATAATTGTTGAAAACCTGTGGGATATGCCTGAAATTGTCAGAAATGTTTTTTGCTGTTTTCTTTAGTATCCCTACCAAGGAGGGGGTCAAAACCCACCCAGTTAACCCCTCTCCAATCAGCTTCTTGTAACTTTGATCAGCCCTTATATACTCTATTGTATATTCTGTCAAGTTGATACTGGTATTATTCATGTCCTTAAGTTTGTCTTACATATGCAAATTATAAAACCCTAAGTGGACAGTAAATTTCCTGAAATCAGGATTCATGTCTTCCTGTGGTATTCATGGTAAACAAAGGACATTCATCAGGTTATTGATCCACATAACGATGATAACGACAAAAATTATGGCTCACCTATATTGAAATATATGCCAGTTATTCTTTTAAGTGATTGACAAGCATCATAACCAGAACACTCACAACATTCTTTCAAAGCCGATGCTCATACCAGCTTCATTTTAAAAATGAGAAAACTGCAGCATACAGAGGTTAACCAGTTTACCCAAGCTCACGATACCAGCTAGGTACTCATGGGTGAGACCAGAATGTCACCCCAGGCTTGGCTGTGCCAGATACTGCCGTTAACCATGGGCCACTTGTGTGTCCCTGAGGGAGTGCTAAGCCCCAGTGAAAAAAAGCTGAGGAATTCAGGCTCAGAATCACATCTACACATGATCTTCACTCATCCATTTGTATTCCTTTTATAAAATGATGCTATAAAAAGTGTTCCTTTAGTCAGAAGAGTTTATACATGATAGAAAATTGCTTTATAATCACATAGGAAATCAGTAACATAAAAAAAGACGAAGAGGTTTAACAAGATGACAGTCAAAAAAGAAAATGCTATAAGGCAAGTAACGGAGAAACGACAATCTATGTTAATATTTCAAATAATATTGGTTTATGCTTAAAGAACCTTTGGGTGAAAATAATGGCAAGTTATAAATAGACTTGTGGCCTTTGGTGTATATTGCTCCCCATTTCTGAGGCTTATAGAAATATTCTTTCTTTCCCACCTACAGGCCAAAGTGCTACAAACACAAATATACTCTTTCATTTACCACTAATGAGATGCTCTCAACAAATGCCCTCCACAGAAATATTGACATAACAATAGTAACAATAAGAATTCACACTTAATGAGGCAAACAGAGATCAAGTACACAAAGGTACATCTTTAGAAAGTAGCACTACCAGGATTTAAGCCCAAGTGGTGAAATTCCATAGCCCTTCCTCTTATCTCATAAACTGTGCCTCTGGCACAAGCATCGCCTAATATTTTGAAATCGCATATGAAATTTAAGAATGAATTTCAAAAATCACATGTCACCGTGAAAATCACTAAGACATGAGAGATGGTTTCACGGGTTAATAGGGTCTATTAAGGGCTTACTATTAGAACAAAAAGGAGAAAGAGAAAGAGGAGTGATATAAAATATACATGATTTTAAATTAGAGTACATAATTTTTGTTATTAAGGGCAGTGGGAGAATCTACCTTATTTTTCATGAAGCCTAAAGTCACCTCCATTTGTAGTAATTTCTTATTTCTTATCTACCTGACAGAATAATTAAAAAAAAAAACATCCCTTTCTCTATACTGTGTAGTGCCTTATTCATACCACTAGTCCCACCCTTACCATACCATGTTGTAGTAGATTTAACTTGACCTTATCTAACACTATTTTATGACTTTTAGGATTAGAATTGTCTTGCTATCTTTGTATTCTTATTATCTAGTACGCAGTTTGTGCTCAGCATTTGTTGAAACAGATTAAAATAAAAGCTAATCTACTTAGAAAAGTACACAGACAAAAAAATAGATAAAATACACTTTTATAGCTTCCATCCATATATGATACATCCCAAAGACAATTGAATGTAAAGTATGCCCAAATCAGAACTCAATTTATTTAAAATTAAAATTTGACCAAGGTCAAATTTATTTAAAAGTATATTTCAAATATGGAGCATGTGAAGCACATGCTGTTAGACCCTCATTTTTTTTTCAAAAATGATATTTGTGTAAATAGCAATAATAAACAATATTTGGTGTAAACCACATACATAGTGAGCTGAGGGGTCAGGAAAAGAATAATGACAGATTTAGCTCCCAGGAGAAATGAGGGGGTCAAAGGTAAGCAGCTCACATGACCTCGTGACTAAATGTTAACGGGTGGTATTTGGTGTCCTCCCTGAACTCTAGCTTTTCCACATCAAGGCTGTGCCTTACTCTTGCCACCTTGAGCACCGAAGACCTATGGGTAGAGCCTTGCTTGTTTGTCGAACTCCCTTGACATGGTCCAGCAGCAACATCTTCTGTGAATTCTTGCTCTGCCTGTGTGGCTGTATACCTTCCCTCTGCAGACAGGAGCGCCCTTGTGCCTTCTAAATCTGGATCATGACTGTCTGAACACCCTACTCTTTCCTAAGAATCAACCCTCAGATCCCACTGGAAATGAGAAGAAAGCCCTATAGACAAACTAGCTGTAGCAAACGAACATGATGTACTGTTTTCATTAGGAAAACTTCAGGACCTTACAACTGGTTACTTCTTCTTCTTCTTTTAAATTTTTTATTATACTTTAAGTTCTGGGGTACATGTGCAGAACGTGCAGGTTTGTTACATAGGTATACACGTGCCACAATGGTTTGCTGCACCCATCAACCCGTCATCTACATTAGGTATTTCTCTTAATGCTATCCCTCCCCTAGCCCCCCACTCCCTGACAGGCCCCGGTGTGTGATGTTCCCCTTCCTCTGTCCATGTGTTTTCATTGTTCAGCTTCCACTTATGAGTGAGAACATGCGGTGTTTGGTTTTCTGTTCCTGTGTTAGTTTGCTGAGAATGATGGTTTCCAGCTTCATCCATGTCCTACAACTGGTTACTTCTTCTATACTAGCCAGGAAAAGGAAGGCTTGTACATAAAGTCCAGTAACTTAATCATCATTTAACCTCCTTTGAAACTAAAAAAAATATATATATAGCTTTTTTCTCTCCCTTCTAAATTTTGTGACTCTTCAGAATTTTCAGATTATTCTTTAGAAAAACTCAATAATTAAATTTAAAAAATTATTTAATCCATAACATAAACAGTTGATTCATCACCGTGATGAATTCTTACCTGGCTTGTCTGAGAAATACGACGAGTCCGGTTGTAAAGGGCCATGCTGTCTCCCTCCCGAGTTCTTTCAATTCTCCAGCCCCAAGCCAGCATAGTTTTTAAAGATTCTTTGATTGGCCAGCGATAAATTTCTTTTTCCTAGAGAAGAAAAAACAAGAAACAACAGATATATTATGAATGTAAATAAAAATGTTAAGTAACGCTTTGCTCTAAAATAGACTGCCTTCACTTTTTAAAAATTTGATGAGCATAGCTTATTTAAAAATATAAAAAGGAAAGTAAAATTCTGAAAAGCAGAGTGTGAGCAGAGATCTAGTTTTACTAATGTTAGTAAGAGGGATCCTCGCTTTGTTCATTATATAGCACCAAGGTCAATTTCCTTTAGCAACCCGGTTCCTAGGACCTTACACAGAAAAAAGGGACAGCTTATGTAATATACATGTGACTCACAATGAAGTGAAATCCTTTTCACTTCATTTGTCAAGATACTCATTTCTTTCCCAAAGAAGTAAAATATATGAAAATCTATACATAATAAGCACATTATTACTTTGTCATCACTCATCAAGAAACTCTTAAGCATGATAAGAAGATTTTTTAAAGTACTTAAAAATATGGGAGAGGAATAAAAACCAAAAAGGAAAAGAAAAATGTTAAGGAGAGAAGAGAATAAACACAGAAAGGCTGACAGAAATTAAGAATTGAGAGGAAAAGACAAAATATAAGAAGGTTTTTTTTTTAAACGGGACCTTTGGAAGAAAAAATGTGAAATTTAAAATAAAGAAGACATTTTAATATAAAAAATATAACCAAAAAACACATTTTTCAAAAGAATAAAAACTTTACAAACTAAAACAAACAAAAAATCCTTACCTTTTCAGACAATAGCTTATATGGCTTCATTAATGGCTGAACCTTAGAAGAGTCTGAATATATTTCTCCATAAATCCATCCATTTGCCAACTTAAAAAAAGGCAAACATTAAAAATTGTTTTACACGTGTTAATTTTAGAGATTGTAGATATGCAGGTGTTTAAGTGCGTGTTTGATAAAATAAACCTAAAATGAACTAAGGTAAGGGTTAAGATTGAAATTTTATCCAGCATAAGTCACTATAAAGATATTCAATGCTATTTTCTTTTATTTTAAATTTCAGATTCAGGGAGTAAATGTGCAGTTTTGTTACATGGACATATTGCATGATGTATTTTCAGTAATCATCTGGAACAAGTCTTTTATCTAGAGATTAGAAGCACTTGATCTTCCTTAAACAGACCAAGGTCTTATAATTGTGCCAATAAGCATTCCCACAGGAGGAGGCTAGAGGGATGCATGGTCCCAAGGATATTTATTCTGACCCATCTTGGGACCCCACCTATGAAGTGTAAATACAAAACATGCATTTTAAATAGGAAAACTAGAGTATGCATCTCAGCGTCTTCTCTGAATAATGCCACCTGTTTTACCCATTCTTTCATCAAATTTTCTCTCAACACATTCATTCCATATTATTTTGCCCATCTGTACATATCACCATTTCCCTATATAATTTCTTGTCTGCCTACAGAATCTGAGTAATTAGACTGGAAAACCTTCCTGTAATATTCCTCTCCATCACCAACTCCACCCACTCAGTATTTAGCAGAGTTTTTATATAAGATAGATCCTTACTGACTTACCTAGTAAATCAATTACTGAATGAAGAACCAGATACTTATCAAAACCAACAAAAAAGGGTTTCTTAGAGGGACCGAAAGACTGGCTGGCCAGGGCAGAGTTTGAAACTCAACATGACATCTCCAGCATGATGATCTTTATTTGTTACGTAGCATACACATCCTCTGGAAGCAACCTTTGGTGTCTGATTTTCATTTCGCCAAACCAATATAGAAGTATTTTAGTTCTTGAACTATCTCAACTCAACTCCTCTGATGAACCTACTTTATCCTCTGTCAAGTTTAGACTAAGCTCAACTTAAACATGAACCTGTAGGCATAAGATTTCCTTTAGAAAACTTATAATATGTAGAAATTATCTCATAGATGCAGCTACTTTAGTTTTCTCATTTCTGTTGTTTTTCTTGAAAACACACAAAAAAATCACCTGGCCGATGTAATCTATTTTTAGTAAACTGCAGATCTAGTTGGTAGTAAGAAATACAACAGAAGAATAGAAAAGGTAAATAATTGTTAAATCCTGATTAAGAATTTTCAAGATTTTATCTGATATAGAACTACATATAAAACCTGGCCAGGCATGGTGGCTCATGCCTGTAATCTCAGCAGTTTGGGAGGCTGAGGCTGGCTGAACAACTGCTTGAGGCCAACAACAGTTGGAGACCAGCCTGGGCAACATAGCAAGATCTCATCTCTATAAAAAATATTAACAATTAGCAAGGTATGGTGGTGTGCACCTGTAGTCCCAACTACTCAGGCGGTTGAGGCAGGAGGATTGCTCGAGCCCGGTAGTTCCAGGCTGCAGTGAGGTATGATCACACCACTGCACTCCAGCCTGGGCAGCAGAGCAGGACTCAAAAAATAAACCAAAAAAACCTACATATAAAACCAAAGTTTCCTTAAAAGGTGAATTCTGAACCCGGAGTCATCATTTCCTCCTGAAGCTCTTGGTGATTGTTGCTTTTTTACTCTGATAAACAATATATGTTATAGAAACTATATTTATAATTTAATGAATAGATCTTTTGAAAGCTTAAAATAGTGCTTATTCATAAGGGTATCATATTTGTGTTAATGATAGAGCTAGCTAAATATTATATTATTATATAAGCTAATTGTAATTAAGTATTTTTTCCTAATTTAGATCAAGTTCTCATTTTAAAACAGAAAACTGTCATGGTCAGAAATATTTGAACAGTGACCAGTCATTAATAATGACTACTGAATTAGAATGTAATACTCTTTTTACCTTGTCCATTGACCATTTGTCATGGGAGTGTTCTGCATATTTGTTAATGAAGTATTCCAATTTCTCAGGAATTGTAATACTATGAGAAAAGTAAAGACAAAAGAGCTTGATTTTCACAGAATTTACAGGAAATCATATTAATAATTTACTCACAGCTTATGAATGCTTATATCTCATTCAATTTTAACTGTTAAACACGACTTCTTTTTTTAGAATTACATTTTTCTATTTTCACAACAATATAAGAAAAGTCAAGCAGATAATGTTCTATCTGCTCATCTTATATTGATTCATATTTTATGTGCTAACATAACAAATTACATATTATAAAACTATAATAACAATTATTATTAAATATATAAATTGAAATAATTAAAATACATTCAAAGATTAGGACAATAGATTACACAAAAAAGAAAAAACAAGCACTAAATTTAGTAGTGATGTGTTAAAATTTTTAAATATACATGGTCCACAAATAACACTGTAAATGTTACTGGTATTAACTATAGGGAAAATAATTAACTCCTGCTTTTTGATAATATTTAATCTTGACTCCTTTTGTGTTTAAATGAATATTTAATTCCTTGATGTTGAGGACATGCAAATGATGACCAAGTCTGATGATAAATCTAAGGCTTAAAACGTATCTATGAATGGAAAATTAAATATATATACATACATACATAATTCTATTCATTAATAAATATATCTTATTAAAGTATTAACTTTGAGAATACAATTCTACATAAAATCTAGTATAAGATGGTTTGCTGTTGTTTTCCAGCAGTTAACAGTAATTGAACTATAAGACATACACATACTTAAGAAGCAATATATAAAAAATCGTAATCGTCTAGAAATCACTGATATCACCACATAAACCTGTATCTGTTAAGAAGTCCCCAAAGGGGCAAGCCTAGGTAAATTAATATCCATGCCCACACTTATTAATTAATTGGATTTAATCAACCAACACCAAAACCATGATATTGTTCTGATATTTAAAAATCTCAGATGAGATCATATGTTAGCAAACCACAAACTTACCCATGTAGGAATGTGAATATGTGATAGTTTGGTTTACTTACTTCGGAAGAGATACAAAAGATCAATCATATAAGCCAAATACTGGGGGATGGGGGAAAGGGTCTTTTCTCACAGGACTGTCATCAAAGACCAAACATGCAAATTTAAGGCATTATCAAACTAATGGCATACCACTCAGGTTGAAATTCTGATCTGGTTATGGAAGCTAAATCAGCTGGGGGCCACTCAGAAGCCTCAAAGTTGAACTCCCAAGCAAATTCAGAAGCCGTGGATAATAACTACCAAGTGTCTACCTTGCTAAAACTGATCTTGCTGAGTCACCATAGAATCAGTAAGATAAGGTGGCATGAAGAGGCAGCTTTCCTTGCACATGGAGAACCATGGTCCTACTTAAAAACAGTAACGACAACAACAAAATGCTCAGACGTCGAACACCTGAAGTTCCCAAACATCCTATTTGTAGAACAATTGGAATTTTCCATAAAAATTCTCATTTGATATTCCCTTCCATCTTGTGCTGCGTTTTATCATGCTGAACATCAGCTGTTAACCCTGGGCCTTGCTGAGATGTAGTGATGGGTGAAGGGATTCCCTTGCTACTCGCAGAAACAGCTTTGCAGTGCATGCTGGGTACATCCTAAGTAAAAGATGTTATATAGAGGTTGATTGTCGTTATTAATAAACATTTAGGGTAATTTTTCAACTAAAAATATAACTGACATACTTTCTTAATTCTATTATAGATATTCCATGTACAGAGTCTTGATTGTGTTAAGAGTATCCTAGAAGGTACATCTTATCTATTTCTGATATTAGTATAATCATTATTATTATTACTATCGTTTTATAAATTAAAGGGACCCCTATTAAAAGGATACCAATTCAAAGGGGGCATGTATTAGAGAAAGTTCACTTTAGTACCTTATTCAATTTCAGACTTCACACATCATTTACAATAAAAATCTGCTGCAATAGAAAGAGTCCATACTTTGAGGTATCAACAGGTTGTGGGTTAAAGTTCCCTTCAGAATCCATTGATGACTGTTTTTCCATCATACTGACATAATTTGACTCCATGTAGTCTGGAGGCAAAGCTCCCGCAACTGCACTCAGGCAAGGCAGTGCCAGTTTGAAAAGTTCTTGTTCATATTTCTGGGAAAAATGGAGGACCAAAAAAAAAAATTACTATATGGCAAAAGTTGTCAGCATGATCATCAGGGCTGACAGAAGGTTGCAGAAGAAAATCTGAATTACCCTGGACTAACTGAACTCTCTGATCATTCTTTTTCCAGAAAATGAAACACAGGGCCTAAAACCCCATCAAACAGAAAAGAAGCTGCAGCTAGATTTACTGAAGTTTCAGCTTAAGGAGAATAAAATCTTTGACTCTCCAACACACTGGAAATGAAGTAAACTTTAATATTGTCAATGTGTAAAATATTGTTAAGAGATAAACATAATTTCAGTCAATAGGGACTACATTCCTTATAGTTAGTTATAGATAATTCCTGTACATTATAATGACTACATATAAAAAAACATAAAGCATAACATTCTAGAGAGTGAGAAATTTTAACTGATCCATGTTGCATTATAAAGCTTTGAAAAATAAAATTCTGAGCTGGAAAAGAAATTCTATAGAAAGTATGCATGCTAAAAATTTATAGGAAGAGCTATTTATATATTAATGACAGTTAAATTTATATTTATAGATTTTCTGAAAAATAATAGTAATAATTTATTTCACTTTAAATGTTCAATGTTAAATAAATGTTGTAAATGATTCTAAAAAATACTTACACATTATTTTAAAAGGACTCAGTTTACCAAAGGAAATTCGGTAAGAAAAAGCATTAAAGTGTTGCTACCAAATGTAATTGCAGACAAATTTTCTTCTATTATGTAGCAAATTAGTGGTTATACTACTCCAATCATCTAATAATGTCAATCTGGGAATTGAAACTAATTTTGATTAATTTAAGGATGAACACACAAAACTTGTTGTTCTGCCTTTTCTCTAAGATCAACACCTGTCAGTCATCTGAAAACATATGAACTATTCATTATAAATTTTGCAACTATAAGGCAATGCCACATATGCAATGCAACATTGAGCGACGGTATCTAAATCTCCATAGCAGCAAAGCTGGAGACTTTAGCAGGGCACTGGGATATTACAATTACATAAGATTTCATGTTTTGTATTTTTATATTGGATATAATTTCTTTGGCCTTTATAAGATTGGAGATGGGACTAGGGAGAGTTTGAGTCCAAATGCACCGGAAACTTATCAACCTTGTGCATAATTTCCTGAACTGCTTAGCCATTTTATATTCAGAAACAGTGTTATGATCACAAGGAAAATGCTACCACAATGATTAAGTAAATATAAGTTGCATTTTCAACATTTGTTATGAAGTTGAGAAAAGAGAAAAAATCAAGCCATACGTGTCTTGGTTAGCAAAGATAGTATTCAACTAGGAATACTATCTTACTAAGAATGTGTGGCTCTATACCATTTTATTGATACAAACAAACCCACAAACCATTAAATTACCTTTTGAGACAGGGCATCAAAAATGCCCCAGAACAACTTTCTTGATAAATGAAGTTCTTCTTCTGAGGCAGCACCAAAGTTTCCCCACCCTCCAGGCAGGCAGTAATATTTCCAGCATCTTTCATAATGATTTGTCAGCAGCTATGTGGGAAAACAATTATAAAAGCAATGAGCTATCAAAACCTTTTATATTTTTTTTTCATTTCTCCTCATATCACACTCTAATGCTACATTATAAGGTCATCTGAAGTGAAATTGCCCAATCCCATATAAATTATCTTGGAGAATACTATCACCGTGTATACTACACGTGATGGTTAATATTGAGGGTCAACTTGATTGAATTTAAGGATGCAAAGTATTGTTCCTGGGTGTGTCTGTGAGGGGGTTGCCAAAGGAGATTAACATTTGAGTCAGTGGACTGGGAGAGGCTGACCCATTCTCAATCTGGGTGGGCACCATCTAATCAGCTGCCAGCACGGCTAGGATAAAGGCAGGCAGAAGAACCTGACTTGCCTTTATCTTCTGGCCTTTATCTTTGTCCCGTGCTGGGTGCTTCCTGCCCTCAAACATCAGACTCCAAGTCCTTCAGCTTCTGGACTCTTGGATTTACACTAGTGCTTTGCCAGGGGCTCACGGGCCTTCGGCCACAGACTGAAGGCTGCACTGTTGGCTTCCCTACTTTTGAGGTTTTGGGACTTGAACTGGCTTCCTTGCCCCTCAGCTTGCAGACGGCCTATTGTGGGACTTCACCCGGTGATCGTGTGAGTCAATACTCCTTAATAAACTCCCCTTCATATATACATCTATCCTATTAGTTCTGTCCCTCTAGAGAACCCCGGCTAAGACACTATGTCTCTTTCAAATTTAACACTGATTGCAATATGAAGACCAGACGCCCAATTTTACAAGTAACTATATCTTGAACAGGATTCTTTATGAGGTTGTTTGGATGTCTATGTATCCCTGAGTTCTACGTTAATCATTTACTAATAATTTAATGAATTGTTATTAATATCTTGGAATCTGTGTGTAAAATGAAGGGACTGATGTCAGGATGACCCAGAAGCACAATAAAGGAACTATACATCTGTGATTCTTTTTGCTCCCTCTCTGCCTCTCTATGGCTTGCCACAAAACTTACTTCTCCAAGTGAAGTTCCAAAATTGCTCTACTCTGATCACTTATTTGTCTACATTTCTTTGGTGGTTATGGATGCAATTTATTACTTTACTGATTGTCTACGTTGCTCCTTACATTTTCACCTATGCATATTGCTTGTTTAGAACTAAACTGGAAGGTCAAGGACAAGCACAGAATCTTTCAATTATTTGGTAGTTCTTTGGATAATTTATTCTTGATCTATATTTGTCAAATTAATAAAATGATCTTATGACTATACATATTTTGACCCTTTCCTATATCTAACGAAGAAAATAAATTATAAGAATTACTGTTATTAAAGTGGACTGCATGTCTTACTGTTAAAATATTACAACTCATTTACTTTCCCTTTCAGTTAAAAAAAATGGACACATACATACATCCACACAATTTAGGAGTCACAAATGATGAAATATTGAGTTCTAATTTGCTTGGCTTAACACTGACATATCTCTAATGTAAAAGAGTTTTATTGCATAAGGGTAACAGCATGAGACTGTATCTTTTTTCACGAATTTTCCAGCTCATTTGTATCAAAAAATTTTGCAAGACAAGGACTATTGAAGATGACAAAAAAACATAAAAATAGAATTTTTATCAAGGATATAATTTATTTTACCTAATTCACTAATGTATCCAGATTTATTAAACCAAAGTCAATTTTCATAGAGAAAGATTACTTTTGCTAAATATCCAGGGATGCTTACTGTAACAGCTCCATATAGACTCTTTATATCTCATACTTCTTCAGCACTAGTACTGGGTAGCCATTGGGGAAAAAATAATGCTACTAGATGGCATTGCAGAGTGGTCATCTATAAAAATCCATCACATTACTATATAACTTTGATGCAAACACTATATTCTATATTCTGAGTCTAGATTATGATATTAAAGGACAAGAAAACATTCCCAACTCAGTAAGATAGAGTGAGACTTGATCCTGAACAGAATAATAAAGTTAGAGAAAATACCAGTGATTTTTCTATGCTGTGTGACAAACTATAATTGCATATACAGAGAGGTTATCTTTGAACCCTATGAAGTGACAATTGGAACCTGTCATGTGATTATTAACTTAGAAAATGTTGTCTTTAAAGCCTCGTCTTTATCTCTCGAGGTTTCTAATAATATTTTAGGCCAGGCCTATTACCATGTTTTCCAACTTAAGAGTATCTTGGCTTATCTTTTCCCTGTGGTCCTTTTTTTCTTTTTTTGACGGAGTCTCGCTCTGTCACCCAGGCTGGAGTCAGTGGTGCGATCTCGGCTCACTGCAAGCTCCACCTCCCGGGTTCACGCCATTCTCCTGCCTCAGCCTTCCACGTAACTGGGCCTACAGGCACCCACCACCACGTCCGGCTAATTTTTTGTATTTTTTATAGAGACGGGGTTTCACCGTGTTAGCTAGGATGGTCTCGATCTCCTAACCTCGTGATCCGCCCACCTTGGCCTCCCAAAGTGCTGGGATTACAGGCGTGAGCCACCGCGCCCGGCCTGTGGTCCTTTTTTTTCAATTGATTTCTATTTCCATTGTTTCCATGGAAATCAATGTTAAGATTTCTATAATCTTATAGAAGTTGTTTATTTCAAGTTGATGTATACATTCCTATAACTTCTATGCCCATTTCAATAATTGGGAGAAATTTCCCAGCGTCAAGCATGATGTATCTAAGAAATGTATATGTTGTCATAGAAAATAAAGTCAGAGAAGCCAGTAATCAAATATCTACAAACATTTCCTATACTTACTTTAAGAGGCATCTTTGCGTGTTCATTTAATAATGGAACATCAAATACTAATCTTCTGAGTAAGTGCTGCATCATAGAAGGTCTCAGTTGTCTGTTGGAACAAAGCTAATGTTCATAATGCCAAGAAATGTTTCTAAACTAAGTAGATCATTCATTAGAATAAATTATATCAGCCAAGGACCTGAATCTATACCTCACTTCAGATGGTATTCATTAGATGTTCTTTGTCCAAAGATTAACCACTTAGTTACTTTATTTTATATAAGGTTAGATTTCCCAACTTATCTCTATCCCCTAGATCTGAAGACCACCCCTTCTTTGATACAGAAGATGTTTCTGTTCTCCTCCTTTCTTTCCTAACCACTCACAAATGCAGACTCCACTGTTTCCTAAGACTTTCCTCCATTAACTTTAGTAAATGTCTCTTCCCTCATTCCAATGGATGGTAAGAAGAAAAAGAAGAGGGAATATTGGAACAGAAAGGAGGAAAAAAAGGCTGAGACAGCAAATTTGCCAGAGAAGGAAGGGAGAGAAAATGTACACAGTGAACATCTACTGTGTCAGGCAACAGCAAGTGTTTTACCTCATGTAATACTTAGAAAATATCTGTGAGATAGGCATTTTGGTTCAATTTTACAGAATCTTAGATTAGGGAAGTTAAAGAATTACTCTTCTGATTTTCCACTTCCCTCAGTGCCATCTGGTTCTCAACCCAGACACTCCCCCATGGGTGAAAACTTGCCCTTCCCCCAGGGACTGCCAGGCTGCTGGCTGCACCTGCAAGAGTCCCTGAGCAGTTACAAATGAGCCACGATCTTTCTAGGGGCTTGAGAAATTATCACTTTCACAGGCAAAACTTCATCAGGGGGAGATACGTTTCTGGTTTTCATTGTAAGACATTCTAGCACTTCTACTTATAGGAAATGGTTTTCCAGGTTGGAGGAAATATTCAGCCTTCATCGTTGCCACACATAAATATGGTTTAATATTATGCTGTATCACATTTTATATTTAAGAAGTCCCTTTTTTCTTTTCTCTTCTAGAAGATGAGTTAAATCATCAAACACAGTCAAAAGGGGAGATCTATTCATCTCACCTAAAGTGGCCAAGGACTCCCAACACAATTACTCCCCACTCCCAACATCCAGAATAGTATTCTGTAACTGGTCAAAAGCTATATCCAACAGCTGGATACCCTAGGGAGGCTTGGAGGAACACTCTGGAACTTGACTGGGAGCAAGGGCGATCAGAGAAGACTCATACCTCAGTATATGGGACTACCTAAAATGAATTAAATTTGTGGTATGGAAAATGTTTCCAAAATTCTAAATAATTTGTCAAAGGCCACATTGTAAATTCTGTTTTTTAAAGAAGAAGCCGGAATAGAATTTGTTATCCACTCACCCACAAATAGAGAGTAAACAAACTTCTATGGAATCCCGCTGAGCTTTGGTAAGTGAACAGCCCTTAGAAAGTCTATACACAGTATGAAGTAATGAGTCAATGAGAGAAGCGTGGTGCTCTGTGCCAGCAAAGAGAGGAGCACATCTTGTTAACAATGGCAAGACGGCTGTGCAAAGGTACCGATTGAGGGCCAAGGCCATGTCTGTAGCACTCAAAGCTGCCTGAAAAAGAATCAGAGAGTAGAAGGCCATTTGTGTTTGGCAGTAGATAATCTTCAAAGGGATTAACATGGGGACATACAATTTCACTATCCGGAAGATGATAGCACTATGACACATGGAAATGTATTCTTTAGTTACATCTTTAAGTGTCGGGTTCATATGATTTTTACCACTAAAAACAATCAACTATCCATTGTTCATAAATAGATAAAAATGAATGAAATGACACCTATCTCCTCAAAAAGCTTAACAGGTTCAGACTCTATCATTAAATATCAATGGTAGGATCAATGTAAGAAGACAATAATATCACAGATGTGAGTATTTTCCTTTGCTAGGCAAAGAGAGGAGCTTATTCTCACAATAGATCTCATATGCGTAAATTCTTTCTGAATTCTCTTTATTATTCATATTTATTCTTCTCATGTCTATCAGCACCAATAACCAAAGGATAACTGTATTACTACTATGTTATCGCCCATACTATCCAGGTCCACAACGTCAGGTGAATACACAAAACAAAGAAAAAAGAAATTTTCATTTCATTTTTGTGATTCTGCTCTCATATATTTCATGAAGGGGCTACTGTCGGCTCAAGTCCTAATGTGCTTTGAAATCAAAAAAGCACATTTAATTGATAAAATTAATGAGTACATGAAAGTAGGTATTAAATATGTATAGTAGCATAACTACTACAATAACATTTAGAACTTCAGCTTATTCCACAGTGTTTCAAAGAAAAGAACATTTAAGCTGATAATGGCAGATTCTCCATGTGGGCCACCCAATATACAGAACAGCCTTCAATCCATTTGTACCTTAACAAACGAAGATACCAAGATGATACTGACTCAACAATATCCATTAAATCATCTTAATTCTTTCATTGCTTTTATTGAGAAGCATAATTGTTTAGGCCAATTTGGAAGTTGATACTGAACAGAGGTTAACAGGAGTCACTGTGACCTCCCAAATTAGAGTTATGTGAACCTCTTATTGAATCCCATATAGCACCTTATCAGAATTCTTATCATATTCTTTTTGGTCAGTGGGAAGTTTCTTGAGGTTGTCAGTTTATTCAGTGAATTCCTTGAGAACATAGCCTAGTTTATTTTCTGTTTACCCATGGCTTACCTGAAAATATAACAGGTACTCAATAAACATTCATTGTCAATAAATTAATGAATGGATATATAAAAAAGAACATCATAAGGCACAGAGTGAAGAGTCAAGAGAGGAGGAAGTCCATCGCTCCAATCTCACCGTATCTAAAGAAGCAGCCGCCCGGAGATCTGGCAGAAAGCCAACCTCAAGAAGATGGAGGAGGAAGTCTTGAACCTCAATCCCATAGACCCTGTCAAGGAATAAAACCATGGCTGCCTTGTGATCTGGGCAAAACCCCGCAGACATGTCAGGTTCCACCACATTCCCATCTAAAAGAGAGAAGTGAATTTTGGTGTCAATGGCTGTGTCATATACAGGATAGATTACAAATGGCTGCTTTCTAGACTTCTTACATTTTAAACACAGTTTTCAATGAAATGGCTTTCTGTTCTTCGACTACCCTCAAGCTATTATGGGAGTTTGCTGAGGAAATAAGGCAGTGAATGTAAAGCCAAGGTCATTTAACTGTTATATAGGCATCCACTTGTTAACTGCATACAGGATACAAGACATGGCATTGTTAGATACTTAGGAGAAACAAACAGGCATCCAAAATCTACTTTCTAAAACTCCAAGTGAAATCCATGAAAAGTGAAAATGTGAAGTGGGGATGTTCACTCTTTTCTAAGTGAGCCTGTTTTAAACATGAATAAAGCTCATCTACCTTTATGTGATAATCTTGGTATATTTACATTTTCACGTCTTAGAACAATAACGAAATGATGAAATGACACTATAAAACCAGTATGGCTTTCATATGAAATATGTTTCATTAATCATAATAGCATTTAACGTGCATTTAAGGGTCATATTGCTTTCTCTATCAACACTTAAAGCTTTATGCCTATAGAGATTAGTGAATTCCTTATAGTCACTCCGTAGGTTCCCTAATTGGGGACCGCTGATATGAGAAATCATGGGATTATGTGCCAATTTCAAATACTGAAGAATTTATTTACTTCCTGTTTGACCACATGATAATTACGCCAAACTGGTGCTGACCACACACTGTACTCTTCTACAAATACTATCACAGAAATTTTCATATGGATACAACATCAAAGAAATAAGAACTCAGAGAAAGAAGACACATGACCACAATCATCCTGAATAAACTGATGAATAAAATGACAACTTTTCTGTTTCCACGTATAGTCAATGAAAAAATTTTATATGTGAATCATGAAAACAAACAAATAATGTTCTAAAGGAAACTAGATGAAAGGATAATGCCTGGTAGTATTCGTTCCTTATAATTATAACACCCAATATAACTAATACATTCCTTTCCTTACATTATAAGAATAATAGTTCTGATGTGTTGTGCTGTTGTCGGGTACTGCACTAGGAATGTTACTGACACGATCTTACACAATTCCCACAACCCAACTGTGAGGCTGCTATCATGACTCTTATTCAATGAATGACGAAAACTAGCCTTTAGAGAAGTAACTAGTCCAAGGTCACATACCTAGTAACTGACAGAGTTGTATTTAAACCAACTAAAACTGGATTTAAAATCCAGCCAAAGCTGACTTAACCTTAGTGTCAAATCAGTATATTATGATTTTCAATTAAAAATCTATATAAAATTCAATTTCAATTCTCCTAAAAATCGCATTAAAAAGGAATTTAAATGTACAGTGTTCTATTATCTTAAACCGTAGCTGTGCCTAGGGAAAAAGGGAGAAGCTCACCGATCCTGCTCTATATGCTTTGCTTTTTAAGCTCTTATCCAAGCAGACATTGTTTCTAATGAATGCCACAAATGCATCTGCCTGTAACTCAAGACTCACGGATTGGCTCAAGTTGCTGTTTTATTTGCACCATCTCCTCAAACACACTGGAGACAACAGAGCAGCAGTGTCACCCCGCAGTGCCTGCTGTATACATCCACCCGCAATTACCAGCAGTGCCTGCTGTATTCATCCACCCACAATTACTGCCTCAGACAGGGCGGCCAAATCAGTCTGGGCCAAGAGCTGCAAGATTATGTGCTTGTTCCTCAAGTTTTCTGAACCCCTCCTTCTTTCATTATTATTCTGAGGCATACTCTAGCTTGGAAATAAATATGATAAAAATGTCTGAGGAAGACCCTAGCTAATCCTGAGAAGGGAAAATATCATTCTTTAGAGACAAACTTCACATACTAAATATGGAATGTATAATAACCATTATTACTGCTACTTGGTGATGCTTATAGACCAATTGAGTTGTCATTGAAAAGGAGAAAGAAATATTGGTGGTTGAAGCTCTGCAGTGAATGCACAGCCACATAAAGTTAAATGCACAGCTATGGTGACATAAAAACCTACAGGTTTCTGTCTACATTCTCCACAAAAGGAAAGCAGTAAAAAAAAAAATTTTTTTTTGAGACAGAGTCTTGCTCTGCTGCCCAAGCTGGAGTGCAGTGGCACGGCCGTGGCTCACTGCAACCTCCGTCTCCCAGGTTCAAGTGATTCTCCTGCCTCAGACTCCTGAGTAGCTGGGACTACAGGCGTGCACCACCACACCTGGCTGAAAAAAGCAGAGATTTGGCCGGGCACGGTGGCTCACACCTGTAATCCCAGCACTTTGGGAGGCCGAGATGTGCCGATCACGAGGTCAGGAGATCGAGACCATCCTGGCTAACATGGTGAAACCCCGTGTCTACGAAAAATACAAAAGAATTAGCCGGGCATAGTGGCGGGCGCCTGTAGTCCCAGCTACTCGGGAGGCTGAAGCAGGAGAATGGCGTGAACCCGGGAGGCGGAGCTTGCAGTGAGCCAAGACTGCGCCACTGCATTCCAGCCTGGGCGACAGAGTGAGACTCCGTCTCAAAAAAAAAAAAGCAAAAAAAAAAAAGCAGAGATCTAACAAATACCAATGGATTGTGTTGTTAAAAGTTAACTTTCATTGTGACTGATACAAAATTCACAAACACACACACAAACCACTGTGACTCCCGATGTAGACAATATACTGCATATATTTGAAGAAAAATAACATATTAGAGCACAACTAACTACAAAAGGAAAGAAAGCAACTTGAAAACTCTTGAAGGCTGCTAAAGGCAGATGACTGGAGGAAACGAGGAGGTACCTGGAAACTTTGGGGCCCATTCTGTAAAGGACCCCTGGGCTCTCTTACAATCTATGTTCTTGGTTCTTTGTTATTATGTTATTACAAAATTTAATGCTTCCCTATTTCCTAATCTGTATGTCACTGGTACTATTATTATCTTTGTCCTGATAGTGTCTATTTTGTGGCTCAAAGTATAGAGTAAAGAAAAGATATTTTCCTTAAGCAAATGAAAATGAGTTAGAAGAGAGGTACAGAGACAGCAAAGGAAGATGAGCTACAGATGCACAAGGAGAAGAAACTGTCTCAAATGGGGAAGCCAAAGGCGGGGAAGATTTTTAATTTCTAGCTTTGCCTAAAGCTATAATGGGCGTTCAATTATTATGGTAGTTTTGCCACCTTGTAGATTTGGGTTTGTAAGGTTAGCATACATGAAGCTTTACTTTCTCATAATCATGACTGGCAAACAGGATGAGCTACCTTCAGGTATATGGTGACCCCTTTCATTCTAGACTTGAGCTATTATAGCCTGCCTTCTCTAGGGGCATAATTAATGAAAGAAAAGGAATATATATAGCATGCACTTCCTGCCTAATTATGTTTTTTGTTTGTTTGTTTGAGACAGAGTTTCGCTCTTTCACTCAGGCTGGAATGAAGTGGTGCAATCTCGGCTCACTGCAACCTCCCCACTGCCCCGGGTTCAAGCGATTCTCCTGCCTCGGCCTCCTGAGTAGCTGGGATTACAAATGCCCACCACCATGCTTGTTTAACTTTTGTATTTTTAGTAGAGATGGGGTTTTGCCATGTTGTCCAGGCTGGTCTCGAACTCCTGACCTCAGGTGATCCACCTGCCTTGGCCTCCCAAAGTGCTAGGATTACAGGCATGAGCCACTACGCCTGGCCCCTAATTATGTTTTGTTCTACAATTAGAAGTCTTTCATGTAAATGATTTATGTATAAATATCCAATAAAGTATTGAAAACTGAAAAAAAACACCTTACATTTGATAAAGTAAAAACAAAGTATAATTTGGGATTTAACACTTATTTTAGTTGTCTTCAATAACTTCTTTAATCTTGAAAAACATTTTCTCCTTACTCATGAAAAGAACACTTCTTTTTGGCTAGGAGCAGTGCCTCATGCCTGTAAACCCAGCACTTTGGGAGGCTGAGGCAGGCGGATCGTGAGGTCAGGAGGTCGAGACCATCCTGGCTAACATGGTGAAACCCTGTCTCTACAAAAAATGCAAAAAATTAGCCCAACGTGGTGACACATGCCTGTAGTCCCTGCTACTTGGGAGGCTGAGGCAGGAGGATTGCTTGAACCTGTGAGGCAGAGATTGCAGTGAGCCAAGATCGCGCCACTGCACTCCAGCCTGGGTGACGGAGTGAGACTCCATCTCAAAAAAAACAAAAAACCAAAAAAACAACAAACACTCTTTTTAACAGAGAGGGGATTTTAAAATCTCTAAGTCAAAAGCTATCATCAGTGCTTTTAATAGAAAAGCATTACAAGAAAGTGACAATGAAAACTATCAAAATGCATAACTAAGGAACTAAGGTCAAGAAAGACAGAAGAGCTTGCGACCAATGACACAAGGCAGGACATAAGACAATGGAGGGTAGCAGTGCATGTTTCTGCTTCTCTGGAAGCTGTCTGAAATGTCATATAAAAGAAAATTAAAATCCCAAAGCAAACACAGCTTTAAAAACAATGAGCTTTAAAAACAATGGAAAAAAGTCTGGATGCGGTGGCTCACACCTGTAATCCCAGCACTTTGGGAGGCCAAGGCAGGCGGATCACGAGGTCAGGAGATCGAGACCATCCTGGCTAACACGGTGAAACCCCATCTCTACTTAAAATACAAAAAAAATTAGCCGGGCATGGTGACGGGCGCCTGTAGTCCCAGCTACTTGGGAGGCTGAGGCAGGAGAATTGCTTGAACCCGGGAGGCGGAGCTTGCAGTGAGCCAAGATTGTGCCACTGCACTCCAGCCTGGGCTACAGAGCAAGGCTCTAATTCAAAAAAAAAAAGGAAAAAATTATAAAATATATACTTTACAGCTTTTTTAAAAAAACTAATTTAAGTAGTATACACATAATTTAGGAAGTGGAGAGGTTGGGATGTTGAGTACGGAAAACATTCTTTAGAACATGATGTCATCCAACATCCTACTGAATTAGGACAAATTGAAGTTGGCCTTACCTTTGGCTATTGTTGGCATCTGAAAAGCGATGCTGATAACGCCCACCAAATCTCCCAGGGGAATGAGGGATCTCAAAATGGACCTAATTCTGATGGCTTCTCCCTTCCCGGCATGAATCAACTATACAGGGGAAAAAAAAACATTAGAACAACTTTGTGACATCAATGTTACAATTCTGTCTAGGAAATCTGAAGTATTGGAATCCAAGTCCAAAATAATTTTCTGATCAGTGTATACATAAAGTTATGCCTCTCTCAGAAATAGTTTTCTGGCTTACCTGCGAATATTTACTTGCTCAAACAGTTTTCAGTGATTTCAGCATACACCAAGTTATTTATACTATGGTCTAGGCCAGTTGGTTCATCCATTAGAATAATAGTTTTTATCCTTTTGGGGACTGTTAAGATATACTGAGAATCTGACGTGTTTATGAAAGTTTACTTTCCAAAATTACATGTAAATACCTATCAATAACATGAGCAATAATACAAAGAAAATTATCATTAGACTCTGAACATATACTAATATTTATGACCAAATTAGCTTCTTTCTTGCTTTGTGCTAAGAAATGAATTGCATATCCATCTGTCTTCGACCCTGATTTCTCCCAAGGCTGGATATATAATGTGGAGGAAATGACGAACATAAATCCTAACAGTTCTTTTAGACTGACATGAAGTATCCAGGATGACTGTGGATGAACATACGGTCAAGAATCTCAGCAAGTCTTCAGGACAGACTAGGTCTGAAGAGCCGGGATGGGCATCTGTTTACCTCATTACAGGGCGTGAAACTCAAGCACAATTTCTGGCACACAGGAGGCCTCAAATAATAGTTGTGAAGATGCATAAATTTCAGAAATGCCAAGGTTGGTCCCCTATTCCTTCACTTAGTTTTCCCCCATTAATATAATAGAATGAAAACTTCTATTTATTAGTATACTTTCTCTTTGTTTCGCTGATGTTTTTTTCTGAGATGGGAAAAATAACAAATATTGTGAGCAAGTATTTTTGTTGTTGTTGTCAGTAATCACCTCCAGCACAGAAATTTTTAATAGTCTCTGTTTCCATTTACTAAGATGAAAGAATCTTACTAGCAGCAAAGTTTAAGTTTTTATAAAAATCAGACTCCAGTTTTCTAACATTCTAACATTTCTCTATCCTGTGACTCCTCTTTGTTCACAACAAAAGAGTACATCAAGGAAGTTTTAACCTCTGGGTATGAAAAACCTAAACCACACAAAAAACCCAACCAAAACCAAAAGAAATATAGATAATAAGGGTAGAGAAAAAGGTGCTTTGTAAGAAAGCCCTGGCTTCATGCTCATCCCACTTTAGAAATATACTTACAGTTCTTAACTACCCCAGCACCAATCAATGTGTTTCAAACTCTCAAACTCTGGGTTTGTTTCCCATTAAAAGATCTGGAAATGAATGTTTTGGGCCCTGGGCCAGGATTTTTTTTTAAATGAATATAATAGAATAACACAGAATCAACTACAATAAAATAAAGAACAAAATATCAGAATGTATTACAGAGTAAAAGTATTATTCCACGAAACTTTAATTTCATTTGGGTCAAAAAGTTTCAGAAAATACTAATCTAGGCTGGGTACGCTGGCTCACGCCTGTAAGCCCAGCACTTTGGGAGGCCGAGGCAGTTGGATCACTTGAGGTTAGGAGTTCCAGGCCAGCCTGGCCAACATGGCAAAACCCCGTCTCTACTAAAAATACAAAAATTAGTTGGGCGTGGTGGCATGTGCCTGTAGTCCCAGCTACTCAGGAGGCTGAGGCAGGAGAATCACTTGAACCTGGGAGGCATAGATTGCAGTGAGCTGAGATCATGCCACTGCACTCTAGCCTGGGAGACAGAGCAAGACCTTGCCTCAATTAAAAAAAAAAAGAGAGAAAAGAAAGAAAAAGAAAGAAAGAAAGAAAGAAAGAAAGAAAGAAAGAAAGAAAGAAAGAAAGAAAGACAGACAGACACTAATTTATATGGTCTAAATAGCTCTTAATATCCACCCCCTATACCTTCCCTCTCACTTTCCCCTAAAACGATGGCAAACACATAGAGCTAAATACACAAAAGAAAATGACTTTTGGTAGGAGCAGTTGTTTTCTGGATGCACTGTAACATAAGAGGAAATTGCATAGAGAAAATATGTTCTTTTCTTCTTAAAATGTGGGAGGCTGTATGAGTTTCAGAGATATATGAGTAACTTAAGTACTCTATTAATGACTTGCACTGAAATCCCATTACTAATTTTTACAACCAACGAGACATTTCCAACTAAACAAACACTTGTTCAGTGATTAGACTGCAGCTATTATTTTTAATGGAGCATGAAGATTATTGGTTTTGGATGCTGTTATGCTCTTTGACAGCTATAGATGTCTTAACACAGAGAAATCAGGATTGCTGCTCCTGAACTCCCAGAAACTCACATGCATCTCAGGAGCACAGCGTCCCAAGAGGTCAATCAAAGCTGAATAGAAGGTCATGATCGCGTTCCCCATGTGGATAGTGTCATCTTCCTCCTCCTCTGTGTCACTTTCATGAATGTTTCAAAAGAAAGAGAAAGCAAATGGGATAACTGACATTTCATGTTTATTACATATCTCTCCGAGGAAAGGGACTACTAGGTAACACATTATTTTTCTGATATGTTTCATATATGTTATAATGTAGAGCTTGACGTTTTTAAGGGAGAATAACAACTGGTTAAAGATCAGACTTGAGATTCTAACACCAAGAACACATCTGTGGAAATTTTAGTATTAAGATTCCTTTGAGGGGAAAAGGAGGAACTGCTTATTTGATGGCTTCTTTTCCTTCCTAGTGGTAGTGAGTGCATTAACAAAGAAAATAACTGATCAAAGGACGTGTGAGCTTAGACTATTTCTGTAAGTGGCACACATGTAGAGAAAGGGTGACAAAGATGGCATACAAGGTCACATGTAAGGCATCCAGTACAGTGCTTGCCCAGAGCAAGTACTTTATAAATGTTATTGCACTTGCTCACCTACCTCTGTACCAACTACTCAACCTCCTGCAACCCCTGCCAAAGAATCCAACATATCTCAACATATCTCCCTCCCCATCTCTGCAGGGAAAATATAATTACATGTTCTCTTGCTGATGAGAGCCAAATCTGGATGGCCCTAGAGGCTCACATCCTCCCTCCTTGGTAACTCAGCAGACAGCTGTCTCCACTGAATACAGCAGTCTGCAGAGTGACAGTGAGGCTTTGAATGACAGCCTCATTCCTGGGCATGCAAGGGTGTCCGTGAGGCCCTCAGGTGTACCCTTGCTAGTGTGGTCCTGGGCCAGAGGTCTCTGGATACATTTTCTACTACTGAGAGAACCTAAGAGCTCCCTGGTTCCTTCATGGGAAACTGATAAGCATGTAGCATGGTGTGTGTGTGTGTGGTGGGGAGTGCTCATTCTTGCTCTAGGAGTGCTCCCAGTCTGCAAATCCGGCTATGGTGTACATGGAACATCTATGCCCAGTTTATATGTAAAAGACAAAGGGTTTGCAGGATTGCGTGCCCTCTAACTCTTTTTTTTCTTTAGAAATGTGCCTCAATAAAGCCCTATGTTACATCTTTACCAGAGGCACTAGCAGTGTGGATGCATGACCCCGCTGGAGGACATTCACCTACACAGATAAGCATCACACCTGGATTTACTTATGTCGATGACTGGACTCTAGTATTAACAACGTATACCTACAGATAAATGTAAGATAGTGACTGCTTCTCGTATCTGTCTTCTGTACCTCAACAAAGCATCACACTCCTCAGAATGAAACCTTTTCTAGGTTTTACCACCATAACAGTTTAGTCAAGTCCCCCTTTCATTTGCGAAAGGTCTCTTTCTAATCATAAAATCTCATTCTAACTACCTTCCCACTAAACTCCAGTCTAACCCCAAAGGTTCACTTCGTATCATTTACAACAACCCACCTTGCCCTAGCTCCCCTAGGAAAATTCATAAGATGCATCTTCTACAACCTAAATTTCCCTCTGCTAAATCTACACCATCTTCTTCAGCTCTCTTTGTTCATTCGACCTATTCCAGCACCAAATTCCATTCATTCTTCCAAATCTAAGACATTATATTTTCAAAGGGAGAAATCTTCTGTACCACAAGTTATATTACAATTCATAGGATGCAGAATATATTTTATAAAATTTCACATCAAGTAGTATGGATCACTCGTGAGGGTGTGTATATTAGACCTACAGTGTTTTACTGGATCCGCTATTTGGTGAGGGACCATCTCGGGAAGGATCCTCGGCGATTTTGATGGCTTCTTCCATTGCTGCAAGAAGCCCATTCCCACCTTCTCCTCTCAAAGCAGGACCAAAACACTCAGGCCTCCGAATGAGCAATCTCACCACGACATTTGCATTTTCCTCCACACTCTCCCCTAAAGTAGAATGGGGAAGATAAGTAAACAAATATGATTATATGGAAGTTCTGAACAAATAAATGTTATACTAATCATTTCCTATGTATAAGAATAACTAAAACCCAACAATATACTAATAAAGCCAAAATGTAATCCTAATTGCTAGCATTAAGTATATGAGACACAGTAAATTTTGCTTGCATTAAAAATTTTCAGAGTAAAGCATTATGGAGGCATAAACTATTGATTCTCACTAACTTGTTATTATTATAGAATGATGTCATAATCCAAACTATTATTAGAATTCAAAATAAAAAATTTAGGAGAACTTAGATGCCTAAAAATTTTAATTTAAATAAGGAAAGAAGTATGTAAACAAATATTGTATTATAAGTGGTTACTGTGAAAAACCCCTATCGATTATAAAATATGTGATTTCTTTACTAATACTTCCTTCATGAAAGTGCTGAGATGAATCCTTATTATATCTCTATGCAGTTTTAATGATAACTCAAAAGACCTCAAGAAATCAAGTCCTACCATTACAGAAGACAGCAAATCTAAGAAAGTCAAGATATCTCTCTCCTTCAACTGGGTTCCACCCAATGTCTGGATAGCCCTTAGACACCAGCATCTGGCAACTTTGCAGTCCACAACCAGCCAAATAACGAACTACCTGCAAACAACATGATTAACAAAGAGTTATCCCTTGGCTGAAAACTCATTAGATGCTTACATTGGATACAATAAATGACATCCTTAAAGGATGCTTTTAAACAAATGCATTTTTGCAAATTCTTTTTGCTCTCATGATAATCTACTTGAACTCCCTTTAGTAAAACCTTAGACTTTAGAAATATTTAAATATCGTCATAAAATGGCATCATAATAAAAATATTTATGATCCTACTATAAGCTTTTTTTTTTTCAGCTCTCTCTAAGCAGACATTCTTTTTAATAAATGCCACAAACATATCTGCCCAGGGCTCAAGACTCACGGACTAGAACCAGTTGCTGTTTTATTTGCACCATCTCCTTAAACACTTTGGAGACAATAAAGCAGCAGCCTCAGCCCGCGGTGCCTTCTGTTTTCATCTACCCACAATCACCCACAGTGCCTGCTGTATAAATCCACCCGCAATTCCTTGTCAGACAGGGCAACCAAGTCTGTCTGGGTGGGCCAAGAGCTGCAGGATTATGTGTAAAACTACGAAAGAAGAATGTTTCTGAATTTAATAGCATTTAACTTGAGACCCTTATCTATCAAAGTCATAAATTGCAAACATGTCTAATGACCTCTGGTGCAATGTAAAAACTGAATCCACTCAAGATATTAAAAGATCTATATGAGATGCAAAGATATTTTAAAGAGAAATTGTTTCCAAAATGATATATCAATTTAATGGGGAAGCAGGTGTGAGAAAATACGTAGAGAAAAACCTAAGATCACAGTCAAACATCCTTGGTTCAAATCAGACACACAGCATTTAGCAAACACCTTATTTTGAGCAGTTACTTTTACTTTTTTAGCCAAGGTTTCAGTGTTCAGGAAATTTTTGATAAGATGACCCACTTTTCAGTATTGATGAAATTAGCACATAACATATTTTTGCCTGGCCTTTCCTCTTAAAATATTTTTGTTTTATACGAATGTTAGTCCTCTACAATATTTCACAAGAAATTCAATTTTAAAAGAAATCCTTAGAAAAGTCATTATCAATGGAAGTAAGACTGACAGAGGAGCAACTTATCAAGCAAATTGAGTTATATCCAGCTTAAGTTAAATCAGTTTCAAATATAAATAATAATATAGCTAAAAATGTTTTATATCAACTATAGTGAAGCAAGAGAACCAATGTGCAATAAACTCATCTCTTTGAAGTATAAATTCAATGAGCTTTGAGAGATGTAGACATCTGTGAGAACACACCATAATCAAGACGCAGAACATGGCCGTCACTCCTCAGAGCTCCCTGGGCCCTTTGCAGTCCCTTTCTCCCCACACACCTAGTCCCAGACAATCGGTTTTCTCTCACTACAATTTAGCTTGCATTTTCTAGGACACTTGTACACATAACCATGCAGCATATATCTTTCTGTGCCTGGCTTCTTTCGCTCAGCATATGATTTTGGGATTCATTCACACTGTAGCATATGTCAGCAATTCATTCTTTTTTATTGTGGGATGACATTTCACCGTATATGGGTATATCACAGTGTTATTTATCAACTAATACATTGATGGTCGGTATTCAAGTTGTTTGCACTTTTTGGCTATGACGAATAAAGCTGTTAGAAACATTCATGCCCAAGTCTTTGTGTGGACATATATTTTCCTTTCTACTGGGTAAATTGTTAGCAGTGGAAAGGCTAGGCATATAGTTTATGGTAGGTGTATGTTTAATTTGTTAAGGAACTGCCAAACTGCTTTCCACACTGGCTGTACCATTACTCATCACAACAGAAGTAGAAGAGAGTTCTAGCTGCTCCTTGTCCTTCTCAGCATTTGGTATTATCAACTGCATTAGTATTGGCCATTTTAATGAGTGTGTAGATTAAAAGATTTTAAGTACTATACGGGGGAAACATGTCCTGAGGTGTCTCAGAGATGCAAGACTTCATGATCCTGGACTGGTATGTCAGGAGGATTTGGGGAAGAGTTTCACTCTTTCATGTCTTCAACAGCCATGCACTAAGTGTCTACCCAGTGCTGACACTGTTCTCTAAAGGCAGGACAAAGCAGTTAACAACAGAGGAAAAACCACTCTGACCTCCCTGGCTTGACATTATAGTAGGGGATGAATTTTTAAAAATACATAACTACATAGAGTTTGATTAAATATATTTATTTTACATACAATTATCTTAATATATATTTAAAATATAAGTTTCTATAAATATAAATAAAATGAAAGTATATATTTGTGTACAGAATATACAAATATTTACATTTCCAATAGTTGAAAATAAAGCAGTAAAGGAAACAGGAAGAGTTTAAGGAAGTGGAGAAAAGGTTTCAGTTTTACACAGCATGGATGTGGAAGAGCTGATCAAGAGGGTGACTTTGGAGCATTGACTGAAAGAATGCCTACAAAGAGCCACGATGGTATCTTGGGTAAGGATACTGCAGATGGTTGGACTAGCAGGTGCAGAGGCCCTGAGGCTGAGCACAGTTGGCGTGTTCCAGCTACAGCAAGGGGACAAGGGTGGCTGAAGCAAAGAAGAGAGAGTGCGGGAAAGCTGTAGGAGATGAAATCAGGCTGGTATGTAGGAACAGATGATGTAGGAGCTATTGCAACATCTTTGATTTTTACTGGGAGTGAGATAGAAAGCCTTTGGGGAGTACTGGATGGAGGATTGGCATGATCTTTTTAAGAGGGTCACTTTGGCTGATAAGGGAAGAACAGATGCCAGGTGAGCAAGGAAAAAAAATCAGGTGACTACTTGGAATGCTATTGCAACTACAATACAGGGAAAGTTTCTCTAAATGCTGGTAATACACATGTGTGGCTTAGTATCCTTAGAGTGCACGGCTTTACTATATCGCTGATGCTTTGTGCTGGAATAAAGTATATGTGATATAAAATGTACATATGAGATGTCAAAATAACCTTTTTAAAAACTGAAGTGTATGATTAAGTCAAAAGTGGCAGCAGATATCACGAAAAGAAAAAAACACATAAGAATACAGATACAGAACGTTGGTTCTCCTTCCATAGAAAAATGTTTCTCATCAGAGAAAATTCATTTTTTCAAATGTATTGTTCTTCATAACTTCTAACTACAATATAATGTATAGTAGAATTATATACAATGTAATATATAACATTATATAGTGTGCAATGTAAATTATAATGTACTTTAATTCTAATAGCACTAGAACATATTGTGTTGGTGCAAAATTAATTGCGGTTTTGGCCATAATGTCACATTGCAAAACCACAATGACTTCTGCACCAACCTTACTTATATTTAAAATATTGAGAAAACCGTGAAAAAGCATAATTCAGACAAACACACAGGGCAGGAACATTGCTCACCTTTTCTAGATCCGGCTCACGCAGAGCTAATGCTAGTTCATTATTATCCATCACCGAAGCTGCAGCCACATCCAGTGGTGTTGAACCTCTCATAGCTGGGGAGGCTATTAATTCAAATGAAGATGAAATATAACCTGGATCGTGCTGTAACTATAAACTCCATACAAAAATATACTACCTCTTAAAATTTAATTTCTAAACACCATCCATAGTGTATTAATCTACATTGATTTACATTAAAGTTTAATTTTACGTATTTTGAATTGACAAATAAAAATTGTATATATTGTGTACATGTTTTGAAATATATGTATACTTTGTGGAATGACTCAATTGAGCTAGTTAACATACATATTACCTCACATACACTTTTGTGTGGTGAAAACACTCAAAATCTACTCTGGCAGCGATTTTCAAGAATATTATACATTGTTATTAACTATAGTCACCATGCTGTATAATAGAGCTTTTGAACTTATTCCTTCTATCTAACTGAAATTTTGTATCCTTGAACATCTCCCCAACCACTCCCCCCTACACCTGGTAACCTCATTCTACTCTCTGTTTCTATGAGTTCGACTTTGATTTTAGAGTCCACATGAAAGTGAGATCATGTGGTTTTTGTCTTTCTACACGTAGCTTATTTCATGTAATGTAATATCCTCCAGGTTCATCCATGTTGTTGAAAATGACAGGATTCCCTCTTTTTTTAAGGCCAAACAGCATTCCATTGTGAATATGTACCACATTTTTCCTATCCATTCATCCACTGATGAACACTTAGGTTGATTCCATATCTCAGCTATTGTGAATAATGCTGCAATGACCATGGAAGTACACGTATCTCTTCGACATACTGATTATTCATTTCCCTTGGATATATATACCCAGAAGTAAAACTGTTAGATCATATGGTAGTTCTATTTTTAATTTTTTGAGGAATCTCCTTAATGTTTTCTAAAATGGCTGTGTTTACATTCCCACCAACATGTATAAGGGTTCCCTTTTCCCCACACCCTCGCCAACACTTATTATGTTTTGTCTTTTCAATAATAGGCATTCTAACAGGTGTGAGGTGATAGCTCACTGTGGTTTCAATTTGCACTTTGCTGATGATGAGTGATGTCGAGTATTTTTTCATATACCTATTGGCCAACTATCTGTCTTCTTTTGTGAAATGTCTATTCAGGTCCATTGCACATTTTTTAACAAAACGTTTGCTTTTTAAATGTAATATTATATTATTTCAACCTTAAAGATGAAATAAAAGTCATTTACTTACCAAGACCAACACTGCTGTTTTCCAGTAAATAACTGAGATGATCAAACATAGCTTTTTGATTCTGCCTACTTATACGACAGAAGTAACAGAGAAAACGGCAACAGTTGGCCACCATCTTGGGAAAGGTGATTTCCTACAGATAAAGCATGTCATTAGCTGCTGAAAGCAAACGACCTTTATAAAATTGAGTTCATACGTTGAGGTCTCAATCACATCGTCAATCCCCGTGTGTCCATGTGTGTGCCAAACTTCAGATACCAAAGATCTTCAAATGTGCAGACTACGATTTGCCTCGTCCCTGAGTCAATGAAAATCAAGCCTGGCACTAATTCAGAAACTTCATTACCATGGATGGGTTAGAACAGAAATTGACTTATTACTGCATTCTCAAAGGTGAAAGGCAGATTCATTTGTGATGCCTCACTACCGCTATCAGCTGTGCTTCCATGGGAAATGATGCAATCTCTTTGATTCTGTTAGAATAATATGGATAATAATACTTGCTTTAGGTAAGGGGCAGGGGAGTGAATTCATTGAGCTGATTTCTGAAAAATATATAGTTCAGTACGTGGCACATATAATAGGATGTTCTTATCAGTATTAATATTAGTAGAATTACTGATTCCAGGGATTTACAACCTCCCTGATTTGCACCTCATGAGATGATTTCCTGGACTGGAAGGCCTGCATGTTTGACCCCACCAAACACATCTTCCTTGAGACCAAATATTATCATAGTTTACCCCAGATACTCTCTGGAGTTCTTCTGTAATAAAGTACAGTATATTATGATATCCTTCTAAGCCTGTCTAACTGGTAAACAGACTGATCATATGAAATATGGGCTTATTTCAGTATTGTGAAAAATACATCCTAAGATTTAAAATATCAAAACATATTTTCATATCAGAGGTTATAAAATTATACTGATTATATAAAGTTTTTTTTTATTATACTATTCTACTAATTTGGTTTTTGATACCATTAAGTTGTGGTCACTTAAAAGTTCACTTTAGGCCCAGTGTGGTGGCTCACGCCTGTAATCCCAGCACTTTGGGAGGCCAAGGCAGGAAGATCATGAGGTCAGGAGATCAAGACCATCCTGGCTAACATGGCGAAACCCCATTTCTACTAAAAATACCAAAAAAATTAGCAGGGAATGGTGGTGGGCGCCTGTAGTCCCAGCCACTCGGCAGGCTGAGGAAGGAGAATGTAGTGAACCTGGGAGGCGGAGGTTGCAGTGAGCTGAGATCACGCCACTGCACTCCAGCCTGGGCAAGAGACTGAGACTCCGTCTCAAAAAAAAAAAAAAAAAAAAAAAGAATTCACTTTAGAATTCTACAACAAATACATCCAAGAGTATTATCATCAAATCTCAATCTGGATTGGAAATTAAGTGAAACCAACCAATGTCTGTGTCATGGAGGATGGTGGAGTCTGAAGAACATGCTTGTGCCATGGACTGGTAACGTGATGAGAACTGAATTATAATTCAAAATTTTAAAATAAATTAACACATAGAGTAATTTTTATGTTTCTAAGTTTCTAAATATCCCCTAAATGAGATACTTCAGTTTCTAAATATCCCCTAAAAGAGAATAATTTAGGAGGCCAAAAATTACACAGTATAAGACAGGAAATTTTTATCAAAATCAAGGAAAAAAAAACTAGTAGTACGTTCAACTCCCTAAGGTTTGTGTGTTTTTTTCAAAAAGTCTTCTTTAAAAACAGTCATCCTAAGAGGATTTAAGAAATTCTCATTAAGAATCTACAATCTGGGCTGGGCGCGGTGGCTCACGCCTGTAATCCCAGCACTTCGGGAGGGGAGGCCAAGGCGGGCGGATCACGAGGTCAGGAGATCGAGACCATCCTGGCTAACACAGTGAAACCCCGTCTCTACTAAAAACACAAAAAAATTAGCCGGGCGAGGTGGCGGGCGCCTCTAATCCCAGCTCCTCGGGAGGCTGAGGCAGGAGAATGGCGTGAACCCGGGAGGCGGAGCTTGCAGTGAGCCGAGATCGTGCACTGCACTCCAGCCTGGGCGACAGAGTGAGCCTCTGTCTCCAAAAAAAAAAAAAAAAAAAAAAAAAAAAAAAATCTGCATTCTATATCAATCTATATACTCCAGGAGATGATACTAAATAGCATCTCAGGAATCAAAGACGTTACCTTGGACTCTCCACCTCCAAGGACGTTCACCATGACCTCCATCACAGTCTCGTGCATCCCCAGTGCCCTCATGAGATTAGGGTGCTGGTAAAACACTTTGTTATTCATAATATCCCTAGAAAGGACAATGGACGTATGGGGTAAAGCTCAGAGCAACATCTAAATAGTTAACCAAGTTCCTCATAAATCTTTTAGAAATAATTTATGTGAGTTGAAAAGTAAAAGCAATCACAGTATTTAATAAGCCACAAAAATTAATGAATGTAATTGTTTTCCTCAAAAATATTGATAATTTACCAAAATTGGTTGACGAATGTCTATTCTTTTCCATTGTAATAAACATAGTAAAAATGTAAACAGTTAAAATGAAATATACTTTGGACACATCATTCCTAATTTTATGGATATCCAACCATGTGTCCAACCTTCTTCTGGATAAAAATATGAATTAGTGTTATACCATGTTTATATAAAAATTCTTCATATATAAGTATCTCTGCTTTTCATATATATGCTGTTGCTAGTATTTATATATGCTGTTGTTAGTATTACATTCAGTATTTGTGTATATTATTACAATAGTGTTATTTCTTATTGCATTCATATTATCATTCTGACAAATACTTAAAAGGATTCATATTCTCCAAGAGAAACTGAGTATACATGAAGTCCAGGTACAAGTAATCTAACTCATTAAAACGGACATCCAGTTTCAAGAAACGGTGTTAGGTGATACCTAAAATGTCTCGTATTATCATTACTGCATTACATATTCTTGTAATATGTGTGTCAAGGTATTCCTAAGGGTCATAATGTTCAGGAGAAAGTATCATTCACTGCAAATAAAGAGCTCTGTTGATTTCTATTTTAACATAAATCAAATCGATGCCAAGAGTCTTTTCTATAAAACATTTTCTTGTTAGATCTAGAGCAAGAATAGAACATACAGCCTATGAGAAAATTGAAACTTCTCTTCAAATTAGTTTCCTTTAACTGAATTACTCACCTATTCATTTAGTCATATGCAAAACTTTAGTTACTCTGGCTATATCAAGAAAGTGGGATAGTATGATTTTTGCATTTATTATTTTTAATGAACAGGGCTTTTAGATAGCATAGGTCAGAAAAAAAACTTGATGCCCAAGGCTAATATGGGTCTGACTTATTTCATGCCAGAACAAACTAAGGTAAACAAGGGCAGCTTTTTCTTTTTATTGTCTCATTAATTCAAATCTTTGAATGAAGTAACTTGATTTTAAAATCTCATTTGCTTTTAGTTTTAGGTAAATTAAATAGCAGTCAGGCTGTCATTTACTAAGAATCTCTCTGTGTTAAATATTTTGAATACCACAAAAAGAAGCATTTTGCTTTTTAACATCATTTTGAGTTTTATCACTAATGAATGATTTACTTTTTAATGGCACATATTACTGTTGTGTGTTAAGAAAGAATATGATCTCCATTTTCTGGAAGGCTTTCTTTTTCATTTGGTTAATTAAGATAACCTCTTATGAGAGGCTTCCTCGGGTTAGATTTAAATATTAGTACTCAAATAAGACCTATGCTCATACAATTATAAAGACTCTAATATTTGCTTTTCTCAATTGGCTTTTTTGCTTTCCCTCTCTGTCCCATTAGTATATTTATTTTTAGTGTGCAACAATTATGAATTTTTAATAGAACCTTTCATCCATTTTTATAATTTTAAATACTTAATAGGTCCATGAGCAATATGCAATATTGTTTTCTGAGTTAAAATGTATAGAAATGATATGAAACAGTCTGTATCATTATACACTTGTTTTCTTCCCTCAGGATTGTATTTGAGTTCTGTCAAAGAAAAACTTGGTATTCCATTTTATTCGTTTTTTTCAAAGAATTAACTCTAAGTTTCTTTGATCAATTTTATTGTTTCTTTTGGTCTATTTTATTCATGTAGCAGTTACCTTTATTATCTCCTCTTTTGCCTGATATCTATGTAACTACATCAGCTTTTTTTTCTGCTAAATATTTGTCTTCTAATCACTGTTTAACATCCTATCTTCCAGAATTCTACATTTTTATGTTTAGGTATTGTTCTTAATGAACATCATAGAGCTTAATATAATTTTTATCTTTGTTATGATTTTGATTCCATCTTATTTTTTCTTTAATTATTTTTAAAAATATTTTAAATATTTAGGGGGTGCAAATACAGATTTCCTGCGTGCATATATTGTGTCGTGGTGGAGCCTGGGCTTTTGCTGTACCACAAAAAAACAGCCTGGGCTTTGGTTGTACCATCACCTGAGTAGCGAACACTACTCAATAGGCAATTTTTCCATCTTATTTTCAAATCCCCGAACTATATAAGCTTATTATTAATGATTGCTTAGATTTATACATGTATAAATCAGTAGTATACTCAAAAAAACGTGTTGCATCCCATTCTTTTTCTCTGAATTCCGTTTTCTTCTCCCTAATGTATATATTAACATTTAGCATAAAAATTTTAGAAGGTCTTCCAATGAGGGACTGTAAGTAAATATTCTGAAATATCTTTGTTTTATCCTCACTCTTGAATATGGGGTGTTAACTTTAACCCCCAAATCCACATGAAATGCAAGCTCATGATGCTGAATTCTCAGAAAATTTGTTCCCCCTACCCCTTCTTTTTCCAAGGCCCAATAGATAAAGACAAGCTTCCTTATCATTTCCTGTTCATATTTCCAACTACCCACCTTGGATTTCAATGTGTTTTTTTATTTTTTTAATGTATTAAACACCACACAGACCTATGGATCAATGTGTTTTTACTGTCCTATGTTTTTATATATTATTGTACATTACTATGAGACTTAAAAAAAAACACTGAAAGATATTGGCTGTGTGCCACACTGTAAAATTAGTCTTGTTTCATTACTGAGCAACTTTCTAACTTAGCTTTTGTTTCTATCTCTAAAATGTGGCACATATACACCATGGAATACTATGCAGCCATAAAAAATGATGAGTTCATGTCCTTTGTAGGGACATGGATGAAATTGGAAATCATCATTCTCAGTAAACTATCGCAAGAACAAAAAACCAAACACCGCATATTCTCACTCATAGGTGGGAATTGAACAATGTGAACACATGGACACAGGAAGGGGAACATCAGACTCTGGGGACTGTTGTGGGGTGGGGGGAGGGGGGAGGGATAGCATTAGGAGATATACCTAATGCTAAATGACGAGTTAGTGGGTGCAGCGCACCAGCATGGCACATGTATACATATGTAACTAACCTGCACATTGTGCACATGTACCATAAAACTTAAAGTATGATAATAATAAATAAAAAAAAGAAAAGCTATTTAGTATAATAATCGTATAATCCAGACAATATATTTTTATCAATGTAGTTAATGTACTGCTCTATAGGTATAACAATTAGAAAACATTTACGAGACAAAGGGTTGTAGTAGTTAAATAATTTACCCTAATCCACGAATCATGAGCTTCTCTTCTTCTTTGCCCATTCTCACACTCAGCAGGGACCGAATCTGACCAAGGGATGCCAGCAGGTTGATGGTGTCCTCCACGGACACACCATTTATCGTGTAGGTCTTTGGCAGGGCCCGAACAAGACCCCCAATGCCGTCATACTGCCGATGGAGCAACACAAACATGGCCCTCACCAGCTCGGGGTCTTCAATGACAGACTCCTGAGCCCATCGGACCATGGTCTCAGAAATCAGCTGCTGCAGAGTGGCTGCAAAGTCATTATGGATATTTTTTAAAAGAAAAATAAGAGAAGACAAATCAGTTGGACATTTCAAGTCCATATCCTGTACCCCCAAATTGGTATTTCTATTTGTACCAGGCTTGAAAAGGCTCTAGATATTCTTTGAAGAAAATAACCTTCATTGGATGATACATATTTCAATACAGATCAGTTACAATCATGCAAAGATAAAAAACACAAACCTTTCTTTAAAAATCATTCTTATAATTAAATAAGCTACAGTTATATCACTTTTTCAAAATTACCATTGGCAATTCATATGTAATTGAAGGTATGGCAATTAATATAAGGTGTCCTACTACTTTTATTTGTTTTGTTCTATTATTTTCTTCCCAGAAGGCCTGACATCATTTATCCTTATAAAGTTCGGTCACGGACATTCAAAAAGGTATGCTTATCCAACTGTCTCCTCAGTTGAGTCATTTGCACTAGTGACTACGTATAATTATGTTTTCACTTAAAGTTGTATCCATATTTGTCATTTAAAATGTCTTCAAAAGGATTTGATTGTGAATTTATATTAAAGCGAAAAGTTACTACATACACAGAAAATTACTTTGCAATGTAACATGAAACATAGTAAATGTAAAAGCAATAGAAAAGTCCAAATCTTTTCAAATAAACAGTGAAATTACCAAAATTAAGTGGGGTGACCAATTTATGCACGATGAGGCACTTAATCCTAGTATTAATATGCTGGCTGACTTTCAAATTAGGCTGTTTTACTTTCATCTAGAAATTATTTAAGCAAAAACAAAAACTACCATTTTTAACCAAATACAAAATGCAAATAAAATGCCAATATATTCCCCTATATCTGAAAACCACACTGTCATTTTAACCACTCAAGATCATAAACTTGATAATAATAGAAAGTGATTCATAAGAAACGTTGAACTCTGGCCATGCACAGTGGCTCACTCCTATAATCCCAGCACTTGGGAATCTGAGGTGGATGGATTGCTTGAGACCAGGAGTTCAACACCAGCCTGGCCATCATGGTAAAACTCAGTCTCTACTAAAAATATAAAAACTAATCAGGCGTCTTGGTGCATGCCTGTAATTCCAGCTACTCAGGAGGCTGAGACAGGGAAGCAGAGGTTGCAGTAAGCCGAAAATGCACCACTGCACTCCAGCCTGGGTGATGGAGCGAGACTGTCTCAAAAAAAAAAAAAAAAAAAAAAAAAAAAAAAGAAAAAGAAAAAGAAAAAGAAAAGAAAGAAACACTGAACTCTGATTTTAAAGAAAACTTGACTCAAATTTGTGATTGTGACACTGAAAAATAAATTTAGAAGTAACTGTATGAATAAAGGTTTTCTGTTGTAAGTCAAAAAAAAGTGCTGTAAAAGTTTTCGTAAGTTTATTTTTTTTTATTTCAGGGAAAGCTATTAACAAACCATTGCTGCATCTTAAAATCAATACAGTCTTAGAAGTGAAGTAAAAAGTAGGCTGGATCCCTCAGACCTACTCAGAGTGCTGTGCCCAAGGCACTCACAGCCCAAGGGTGCTTATTATTCTGAAATAGGATATGGATCAACCAGAAGTATACAACAGTTGAGGAAATATTTCAGAACCAAAATATAAAGACAATATCTGTTTAAATTTTAAGAAAAAAGTTTAATTTGATGCAATAATATTTGAAAATCGACCTCATATTTAGATATGAAGGCTAAATTACTATACTTCCTTTTAACTTTCTCTTTATGGTCTCTGATAAAATACCTAAATTTCTAGTTCTCTATGGAGACCATCCATCTTTATCATGCTGCTACCTCTCAGTCTGTTGCTATACACATAGACTGATGCTGCTGTTTATTTCTGGGAGCTACAGGCATCTACTTAAGAGTCTGATTCTTGGAAGTTGCAAACTCAATTATCTCACTGGCTCATCCAGTAAAACATTCGTTCAAAGGATGAGTTAAGTGTCAGCAGTTGGGTCATTCTGCCAGTGCACTCTCATACTGCTTACAGGACTTTTTGGAGTCACTCTCAACTGGTTTTTCTGCTTGCTTCTTCTTCAGATATGTCACCTTTTCTACCAGGGATAGCAGACGCCCTCTAATTGTTAAATCACTGTTTCCATCCAGAGACCCATCTTCATCCAGCTCAATTCCTAGTATAAAAAAACAGAGAGGCAGAAAAAAATATTTAAAGAATACACTTGGGCAAATAATTCTGAGGCCTTGTAATTTCTTTCATGCACAACTTAGAACAATGTCAAAAACATCTAACATTAAGTTAAGCAATGTTGCTTACCAGCCCTCATAAATAACATTCACTGGTCAGCCTCTTTTCTTCCTCTCTCTTTTTGTTCTATTCCTGTGGGCTCAGGGCTGTCACCCAGAACAAAATATAACACTGAGTAGAGACCAAAAAGACTCTCTTAGGGGCAAAGATCAATTCTGCTATTTGGGCTAACCCTTGGGCATCTCGGACTTCAGATACTGTCTGCCTAGACTTACAGTCCAGCCCTGCCTACACCATGCCCCACAGACTTTAATTCTCCTCTCTTGCCTCCAAAAATTTTAGCAGTATTTTGGTTAGTTGAGAAACAGAGAGAACAGGCATAATTAGGTACCCTAAACCAGGGAATGCTTTATATCTGAAGCAGTAATTCTAAAGTTTTAAAGTATCCCTGTATTTGTAGGGATACTAGAATTCTAGTATCCCTGTATTTGTAGGGATACTAGAAATACAGGGATACTTGTAGAAAAAAAAAAATATATATATACACACACATACATACACATTTCTACAAGGGATATTTGTAGAAATATATATATATACACACACATACATGTACACACACATGTAGTATAATTTTCTGGGAGTCATTTAGTGGTACTTCATTCATAAACCAAATTAATATGCAAAGTGGTGTTTTTATTATCTTCATTAAAATAAGATAACCACCGGTTAAACCAGTGGCATTATTTTTATCTATAACTTTAAAAACAGCTGGTTCATTTTCTTTCATTGAATCATCAGACCTTATCCACACCACTGCATAAAGGAATAAAAACACACACACGTCCAGAATACCTAATCAATTCCATTTTTAAAGTTCTTAGAATAAAAGGAGGGGAGACTTCCCTTAACAGATTTGGATTACTGACATAACAACTTAATGTAGGGTTTCCATAGGCATTCACTAATTTCAAAAGATATAGTCTACATTTTCTAGAAAGTACACCCTCAACTGCTTTAAATACAACTGTTTGTGATCAAATTTCTTTCTTACATGAGGAAAAAACAGCTTCATTGAGGTTACTATAAACAAAACTGTACATATTTTATCTATGCAATATGAGCTTGGACACATGCATCCATCTGTGAAACCATCACCACCACCAGGAACAGACATAAATCCATCACCTCTAAGTTTCTTAGCACTTCTTTGTTTTGGGGGGTTTTGTTTGTTTGTTGTTGTTTTAAGAATACTTAACATGACATCTACCCTCTTAACAGAATTTTAAGTGCACAATACAGTATTGTGAACTAGAAGCACCCTGTTGTGCCATGGATCTCCAGAATTCATTCATCTTGTATAACCGAAACTTTGTACCCATTGACTAAACCAACCTTAACCTCCCTGCCAGAGGCACCTGGCCACATGTCCCCCTTCCCATTTCCTGCCACTAATGGAAAGAGGAAAAAGAGAGAAAGAATTTTGGTCATCTTCTGCTCAGTTTAACTGCCTCTCTGATTTCTCTATCCCTCAGGACTCCCCACATAGGGACAGTTATTTTGCCATTTTGCCATAATAATAAATGTTTTTATATAACTTTCTAACAGGTATCGTGTGTATTCGTGAAAATATTCGCATATACACTTAATTTCGTCTCAGGATATATGGATTAAAAACATACAATTAATAAAAGCTTTTAATCAAAAAGACCTTACCACAATGTGTCATCAAATCTTCATGGAAATCCAATAGTTGGTCACGAATTTCTTCTGGACATGGACATTCACTTTTGTCATCCTTAAAATTGAGAAGCATATTGATCTGAAAGTTTGAAAAACAAGAAAGAGGAAGAAGGAGGAAGAAAAGAAAGGTGAATTCAAGAATGGCACAGCAGGGCCGGGCGGAGTGGCTCATGCCTGTAATCCCAGCACTCTGGGAGGCTGAGGTGGGCAGATCACGAGGTCAGGATTTTGAGACCAGCCTGGCCAACATGGTGAAAACCCATCTCTACTAAAGATACAAAAATTAGTTGGGTGTGGTGGTGCATGCCTGTAGTCCCAGCTACTCAGGAGGCTGAGGCAGTAGAATTGTTTGAACCTGGGAGGTGGAGGTTGCAGTGAGCCGAGATTGTGCCACTACACTCCAGCCTGGGCGGCGACACAGTGAGACTTTGTCTCAAAAAAAAAAAAAAAAAAAAAAAAAGAAAGAAAGAAAGAAAGAAAGAAACAAAGAAAGGCACAACTACCACAAAAGCAAAAATGCTCAAAATCTCTGATTGTTCATAAATTATTCCTCCACAGGTGTCCATCACACAATCCAACCAGTACCGCAGAATAAATCAAATCATCCATAGCTTAACAAGCTGCAAAATAGTCATATAACGTTTCTTCCTCTTTCTCAAGTCCACAATATGTCAGACTCTTGTATACTTTAAGAATTCATAACTAAGAGATCTAAATGCTATTTTTAAAAAGTATTGTATCATGCTTATCCTAAATTTCCATTATTTTCTAGCTAACATCTCTATTGAACATTCATTGAATATTTACAAGAACTCTTTTTGAGAAGAACACAGACACAAATAAGAAGGAAAAATATAATTGAAAAGTAACACAGGTTTGAGTATCCCTTATCTGAAATGCTTGGGGCCGGAAGTGTTTCAGATCTAGGATTTCTTTTTCAGAGTTTGGAATACAATCATCCTTTAGTATCCATGGAGTATTGGTTCCAGGACCCTCCATAGAGATGAAAAGCCACAGACAATCAAGTCTTCTATATGAAATGGCACAGAAATTGCATATAACCTATGTATATCCTCTCATATATTTTAAATCATCTCTAAATTACTTATAATACCCAAGGCAGTGCTGACATATCACTTCATTTAAGTGGATTAGACATAGTACTTGGTGCACAGCAAATTCAAGTTTTGTGCTTTGGAACTTTGTGGAATTTTTCTGAATATTTTCAATATACAGTTGGTTGAATCCATAGATGCAGAACCCACAGATAGAGAGGACCAGCTCCATCTGCATACACATGAGCTATTTTGAGAATAGAACCCAAGTCTAAAAATGAAATTCATCTATGTTTCATACACACCTTACACACATAGCCTGAAGGAAATTTTATAAAATATTTTAAATAATTTTGTGCATGAAATAAACTTTGTACTAAGTATTTACGTGTAGAATTTTCCACTTGTGGTATCATTTCAGTGCTCAAAATGTTTTGGATTTTGGAGTATTCTGGGTTTTGAATTTTCATATTCGGCATGGTTAATCTTTATAAGGGATAACTACGCGCTGCTAACATTAATGGTTCAGTTAAACTGCGGGAAACTTTACCATTTATGTTTGAACAATACTATTAAATTTATAAATTCGGAAGAGAAAGATGCTTTCCCATAATTTTCCTTTAAGAAACTATTTTAGATTTTCTTTTTGGCATTTATGTGATTTTTTTTCCCTAAACGTTTATTTTGATATAATTATAGACTTATATGCTATTGTAAGAAATAATACAGAGAGACTTCAAGTACGCTTTATGCAGTTTCCCGATTGGTAACACTTTGCAAAACTGTAGTACAATCTCATAACCAGGATAGCAACATTAGTGCAGTCAAAATAGAGGATAATTCCTTTATCTCAAAGATCCCTCCTGTTACCTTTTCATGAGCACACCCACATCCCTCTGTCTGCCCCTCATCCTTAAGTCGTGGCAACCACAAATTTGTTTTCCATCTCTATGGTTTTGTCATTGCAAGAATGTTACATAAATGGAATCATATAGTATGTATGCATGTATTCCCATACGATCCTTTAAAACATATTTAATTGGTAAATATTAATTGTATGTATTTATGAGGTACCATGTGATGTTTCGATATATGTATACATTGTAGAAAGATTAAATCAAGATAATTAACATATTCATCAGCTCATCTACTTATCGTTATTTCAAAGGTGAGAAGAAAAAAATCCCATGTTATCACCTGACGTCAGCAGGGTGTGCCATGATAAGTAGTTTCATTCCTGGTATGGGTAATTTGTATCTTCTCTTTTTCTTTTTCAGTTGTTTTAGAGGTTTGTCAACTTTATTGCTATTTTTTAAAAACCAGCTTTTGGATCCATTTTTTCTATTGTCCTGTTTTCAGTTTCATTACTTTCTGTTATTATCTACATTAGTGACTTCTTTCTGCTTGCTTTAGGTTTATTTTACTCTTTGTTTTCAAAATTCTTGAAGTGGCAGGTCAGGTTATTGATCTGAGTGGTTTCCGCTTTTTAAATGTAAGCATTGAGTGTTAGAAATTTCCCTCTTGGCCTTGCTTTAGCTGTGGCAAAAATTTTCAAATGTGATGTGTCCAATTTCTTTTAGTTTAATGAATCTTTAAATTTCTCCCCATACTTCCTCAAACCATAGATTATTTAGAAGTGTGTTGTTTAGTATCTCTAAGAGTTTGGAGATTTTCCAGTTACCTTTCTGTTACTGCTTTCTAATTTGATAACAATGTGATAAAAAAATGTGTATGATTTCAACTTTTAAAAATGTCTTGAGGTTATTTTATGGCCCAGGATATGTTCCATCTTAGCAAATGTTTCATGAACACTTGAAAAGAGTGTGTACCTTGTCGTTGGGTGGAGTAGTCTACAAACCTTGGTAGATCTATTATTTGATGATAGTGTGGAGTTTTTCCGTGTCATAGCTGATTTTTCTGTTCAGCTGTTCTATCAACTGAGAGAGGAGTCTTGAATTCTGCAAGATAATTTTGGATTTGTCTATTTCTCCTTTCAGTTCTATCAGTTTTGGCTTCACATATTTTGCTTTGTTGTTTAATTCATATATATTTATCTTCTTGGTGGACTGACCATTATGTATGATCCTTATCTCCTTGGTAATTTTCTGTGCTCTGAAGTCAACTTTATGTAACATAGCTACTCCTGCTTTATTTTGATTAATATTTTAATAATACATATTCCTTTAACTTTTCCCTTTTAATCTGTATACATTATTATATTTGAAGTGAGTTTCTCATAGCAAGCATATAGTTAGATTGAGTTTTATAAATTCACTCTGCCAATTTCTTGTAATTGGTATATTTAGATTATTGATATGCTATGACTTCAGTCTGTCATTTCACCTGTGGTTCCGTTTGTTCTGATTTATTTTTACTGACTTGCTATGCTATGCATTACTTGAACAATATTTAGAATCCTATTTTATCTGTGGTACTTCTCAGTGTATCTCTTTGTACAGCTTTTCTAGTGCTTGCTCTGAGTATTATTTTATATACATACCTAACATACAGTCTACTGGTATTGACGGTGCACCAGATGGTACAATGTCAACACCAGTAGACTTCAGTTTGAGTGAAGGATAGAAACCTTATCTCCCTTTCTGTTCCTTTATTCTCCTCTGTTTATAATTTTTAAATATTCCCTATACATATATTTAGAAACACATCAGTTTTATGATTTTTGCTTCAACCATCAATCATAAATTAGAAAACTCCAGAGAATAAAAATGCACTGCATTCACCATATTACAACATTACCCAGTGTTAATTTCTTCCTTTCTGAATTTTCCAAATTTCCTTCATTTTTCATTTTCCTTATATTTAAAGAACTTCCTTTAGCATTCTTTTAGGGTAGGTCTGCTGTAGTCAAATTCTTACAACTTCCTGTCATTTGAGAATGTCTTGATTTCCCCTTCGTTCCTTAAGAGTATTTTCAAAGTACATAGAACTCTGAGGTGATCGTCTCTTCTTTCAGCATTTGAAAATTGCTGTGCCACTTCCTTCTGCCCTCCATACTTTCTAATGAGAAATCTGCTGTCACTCAAATTGTTTCTCCCCCTGTAGGTAGTGTCATTTCTTTAAAGACTCCGTCTTTAATTTTTTCAGAAATTTGACTATGATGTGTCTCGGTAAAGATTTATGTTTATCCTATACGGAATGTACTCATCTTCTTGAATCTCTCACTTCATATCTTTTACTGAACTTGAAAAGTTTTCAGCATTATTTTCTTCAGTTCACCCTCTTTCTCCTATCCTCTGAGACTCCAACATCACAAATGTTAGATCTTTTGTTATATTCATCTTCATCTTTTCTTCAGATGGGGTAGTTGATATCACCCTCTCTTCAGTTCACTGATTGTTCCTTCTTCTCCCTTCATTCTGCTTTTAAGCCTATTCATTGAGTTTTAAAATTTCAGTGATTATATTTTTCAGATTTAAAATTTCCATTTGGTTCTTTGCCATATATTTTGTTTCTCTGCCGTTGAGGCTTTCTATTTCTTTTCCATTTTGAAGGAATTACAGGGCGATTGCTTTCAAAACTTCATCAGATAATTTTAACATCTTTGTTATCTCAGTGTTGGTGCTTATTGATTGGTTTTTTCATTCAAGTTTTCCTTGGTTCTTCACACACATGATTTTTAATTGAAATCTCAACATTTTGAGGATTATGCTAGGAGCTCTGGGTCTTATTTTTAACTCTGTTTCACCTGGTTTCCTCTGACCCCATCCAGCAGGAGAAGGGCTTAGGGTATCTTATTGCTGCCAGGTGGGAGGCGAAGTCCATTTTCCCACTCAGCCTTCTTGGACATCTGGAGGAGGGAAGGGACCCTGTTACTGTTGGGCAGTGGTAAAAAGTTCTGGTTCCTCATTAGACCTGTACTGATGTGAACCTTGCTAGAAAGGTAAGAGTGTCTTGCTACTTCTCCTTCCATAACCTCTACTGATACTTTGGAAGAAATGGGCCTTGTTACTACTCAGCGGGGATAAAGTCCCAGCTCTGTCCTCTACTGGGACACCTTGTTACAGCCTGGTGAGAGTGGAAGTCAAGGTTCCCCACTCAGCCTGTGCCCAGTGTGGGTGGGGAACAGTTTTTTCTGTGGTTTTTGGCTTCAGTAGTGCAGTTATTATCTAACACATTTCTGTCTTGCTAAGCTGCCCCTTCCCTGATCCTTTATCTAGAAAGAGGAGGCTTTTGTTGCAGCTTTTCTTGTCTATGCCCATTGGTGTTTCCTGGTTGTCGTCTTCTTTAGCTTCAAATCTGGGATAGATGAGGCAAAAAGAAAATCCAGGGAACTCACCACCATGTTGTTCCTTGGGTCCTGAGTTCTGTAGCCAACCTCTCTTCTTCTCTCTATCTTTCAGAGCCTTCTTATGTTGTCTTCTTTGTAATGTCCAGGGTTTTAGTTGTACTTAAAAGGAAGAATCGGGAAAAGCACATGTACTCCATCTTTCCAGAAGCAGAAGTTTCCCAACAGTAGTTTAACAGAGTTAATCTGGAAGAGGCTGGACCTGTTCTCTGCTCAATAAATGCTGTTTATAACAATTAAGAAAATTCCACATCCCTTTCCTCAAAGAAATTACATTCTGGTGAGAAAAAAAAAAATTCTGTAATTAGTCCCTATAAACACTTTCATTCTGAGCTACCCTGGATAGAGAAGAAAATGGTAAGGGTAAGAAATCAAAAAAGACATCTGTGAATTACATTGTTTAACACCATCCCTACGCCAGTAACTTCCCACACTCTGAGGCCCACTCTGAGGTAGATTCCAGAAAATTTACATCCCCCAACTAGCCCATTCTCTGATATAGGCAGGTTCCCTTTGTTCTGTTGTACCCTCAGGAGACCTGACTTTGGGGGTAAGCAATGAAAGGAAGAAACCACAAGCAGGTAATCAGTCTTCCGGCAAGCAAGGTGGAAGAGACATGTGTTTCTTCTATGGTAGGCACAAATGGAAAGCCTCTAGCATCGAGTCCTAGGAATCAAAAATTCCTATGAGTGGAAGATGATGAAGACCCATTTGTGGTTGAAATTTGCTCCTATTTGAAGAACTTCAGACTCTGGCATATCTTGGCCTTCTCAAAGAGTCGGTGATATACCTGATATCTTCTAATAAGTCCCTCTTTTGTGTAAACTAACCAAAGAAATTCTTTTGGTGAAACTAAGAATACTAACTAAATCAACTTGAAGACTTTAAACAGAACAAGGAAAACAAGACGTGTGAGTTATATAATTTTGCAAGGCAGAGATCCTGAATGACTAAAAGCCAACATAAATACGAAGAATTTTCATTTCATTTCTGTACCTGTTCTTGAGGTGGTGATCTAAATTCCTTTGTCTTCCTGGCTGTGAGTGCAGCTGACATGTTTAAGGCTTGCATGACTTCGTTGTATCGGAAACGTTGATTGTCTTGGAGCTTAGCCACAAAATCATCTGAAAAGGCTACAATGGCTTCTATCCGGTGCCGGACCTGGCAGTCACAGAGGTACTGAAGCAGTAGGCACATCTAAGAGACCATTAAAAAGACACCAAATTTAATTTCTAAATCCTTTAATAATGTGTATGAAATCATAATCTGTGGTAAACATCCTTAGTTGCCTACTCTTCTCTCTTAGAAACAGAATCCTGATTTTGTATAGGCAGCAATGTGCTCGGTCCCAGGAGATGAAACATAATTTGTATAAGCAAAAATGGCAAACAAATGTCCCTTTAGTGGATGTTAACTGATATGGTCTGGTTCTTTCCCCATGAAATCTCACCTTGAATTGTAATAACCCCCACATGTCAAGGGCGGGGCTGGGTGGAGATAACTGAATCATGAGGGTGTCTTCCCCCATGCTGTTCTCGTGGTAGTGAATAAGTCTCACAAGATCTGATGGTTTTATAAATGGAAGTTCCCCTGCACATGCCCTCTTGCCTGCCACCATGTAAGATGTGACTTTGCTCCTCATTTGCCTTTCGCCAGGATTGTGAGGCCTCCCCAGCCATGTGGAACTGTGAGTCCATTAAACCTTTTCCCTTTATAAATTACTCAGTCTCAGGTATGTCTTTATTAGCAGTGTGAGAACGAACTAATACACTTACCCTCCCAGCCTCCCTTTCAGCCACAGGTGCAATGGCCAATGAAATATATAAGGGAAAGTTTGCTAAGGGTCTTCTGGGAAAGTTATTCCATCAGTGATAAGAGACTAGAGTTCCCTTCTTTCAAAATGAGTGTAACTGGGTGATGACATGATTACTGCAGAAAGAATAAGGTGAGCATTTTAGGAAGAAAACCACAGGCTGAGGATCACAGAGCAGAAAAATATTAAGATCTGGGTTATGGATGAGATCATTGAACTGCTGTACCAATTCTAGAAATCTAAACTTAAGACAATTAAGTGGTGAATGCTCATTCATTCAGTGATTAGCTGGGTCTTTCTCCTACTGAAAACCAAAAGGATTTATAACTGAGTGAGTATGTTGGTAGAAACATTTCTAAGAGAGAATGCTCTGCCAAATTTTTAAAAAAATCTATACACTCAATACCAATTGTGATATAAATACATGACAGTGTCAAAGAGGACCTTAAAACCCTCTGTGTCACCATCTACAATATAACCATTTCTATCAGTGCTGTCTCTGAAGTAGTCACAGTGTCCAACCCCTTTTCTCCATCTCCTTTGCCCCACCCTCCTCTGAGCATGGTCTCCTAGAGTTTGGACCAGCAAGAAAGCCTCCTGACTAACCAGACACTAGATCACACTCTCTTTCCTCCCTTATCGATTTTCCTACCAGCAGCCACACTGGCCTTTTCCTGCCTCAGGACCTTTGCTGGGCTATTTGTTTTGCATGGAAAGCTCCTAGAACACCCTGCCTTGTTCCTTTTTCTTGTAACTGCTGAGCACAACTCTTAAATCTGAACTCAGCTTAAAAGTCAAAATCTCTGAGGGGTCTTCTCCCTCATCTTTCTAACAGTAATCCAGTCTAAATGTTCTTTCTTTTAGTAATCCATTCTTTGCCTTCAGAGTATTTAATGCAATTAGCAATAAGATTTTTTAATGCATAAATGAGTGTATATTTCCTTAGAGGCTGTGAGATTCTGAAAGGCAGGGTTCACTTGTGTTTCCCCTAAGTGCATACCCAGAGTAAGGCTTCAGTCAACGCTGACTAAAGGAACGAGGAGCAAAAAAGCAGGTCAGCGATGCAAACATCCAATTGACTTTAATAAACAGAGGAGACATTAATAAAGGACCCTTTAGACATCTTGAGGAGCATAAAGACAGCCAGTGTGTCTGATTCCTTAAAAACATACTAAGGTGGCTGGGTGCAGTGGCTTACACTTGTAATCCTAGCATTTTGGGAGCATGAGGAGTGAGGAACACTTGAGTCCAGGAGTTTGACACCAGCATGGGCAATAGAGCGAGACCTCATTTCGACTAAAAATAAAAAAAAATTAACTGGGCATGGTGGCATACCTACAGTCCCAGCTGCTGTAGAAGCTGAGGTGGGAGGATGGCTTGAGCCCAGGAGTTCTAGGCTGCAGTGAGCTATGATTGCACCACCACTGCACTCCAGCCTGGGTGACTGAGTGAGACCCTGTCTCAAAAGAACAAAACAAAAGCATACTAGGGGAAAGTAAAACCTTGCTATGTGACAATGGGTGCATCTACTGGTAAACAAGTATTCTAAGGTTGGTAAGAGTGGAAATATGGGTGGAAAGGGGTATTTGATGGCTTGTATTTCAGGTATTCCAATGTAATGAAGGTAAAAAGCATCTGGGAAACAAGAGGAGATGGCTAATGAATAAGAGGGAAAAGAATAGGAAGTTAGTTAATTTTATGAAGAACTACCATTACACAGGAATGCAAAGAAATAAACACACACACAGAGAAAGAAACAAAGGCATGTTCTAATACCTTAATGCTTAGCAATTCTGAAATTCACTCAAGTCTCTTGTTCTGATTACCTGCAATTTAACTGGCTCTGGCAGTTTCATTTGGAGCAGGCCTTCCTTGGGCCGCTTGCCCCCCTTGGCTTCTTCCTCACCAGCTCCTTGCAGCTTTGCATCGTCCACACTGAGCTCTTTCTCCAGCGTGTCACTCTCCTCCTCCGGAGTGGCAGCTTCTTTAAACACACTGGGCTCAATCAACTGCAAGATGTGCTTCAAGTCCTCGTTGTGAAAGATGCCCATGATCAGCAGGGTATAGAAAAGCTTGATGAGAGGTACAAAGAGGAATTCAGTAGTCCCTCCAACTGGGTCCCGGGCATGAAGACTGCCCTCTTTAACAGCTTCTGTCAGCATCTGTATGGTTTTGGACTTGAGGATGTCCAGTGGGAACTCTGGACTGTACTGGTAACATTCATTACTAATGCTTACAAAACTGGGGGAGGAAAACTGCATCCGTGGCCTGAGGGAGGTGCTGAGGCCGATCCCTGGAAGGCCGTGTTTTTTGTTCTCATCAGGGAACAGGGTGATGCTCTTCGTCTCCTCCGTCATGGGGACAATGTACTCGTTGTTCATCATGAGCCTGGCAGTGGCATAGGAGCTCAGGTGGATGTCAATCAGCAGGTCATAGTAGCCAGCACGCAGCAAACCAGGCATGTACTTGTTCTCAATGGCATAGAGGAGCTGAGGTTCATCCACATGGCTGCACAGGGCATGGGCCACCCGGTGGTTCCCAAGAGCACAGACGGCTGAGTAGAGCCGGAGAGTGTGATAGTGAAATTTCAGCAATTCCTCCTGCTCTGTCAACTCTAAGATGTCAACAGATCTGTAGAAGGGAGGAGAGTGGTAGTAAGATTAGAAATGAATGATTTTTTAAAATCTGAATCAGAGGAGAAATCAGTATGCACTGTAAATTTGAAGGAAAAAAGTTATGGGAATAGACACTGCAGGTTGAACATCCCTAATCTGAAATGCTTGGGACCAGAATTGTTTGGATTTGGGACTTTATTCAGACTTTGAAATGTTTGCATTATACTTACCGGTTGAGCATCCTGAATCTGAAAGTCTGAAATGTGAAATACCCCATTTCCTTTGAGCATTATGTTGGTGCTCAAAATGTTTCCGATTTTGGAGCATTTCGAATTTCAGATTTTTGGATTTGGGACACCCAACCTGTGTCTTCTTTTAATTTTCTATGACATGTTTAATGGCTGCATAGTACTTTTAATCATTTCTAGATGTTCTACAAATTTTCTTCTACATAGAATTTGACATTCATCTAGCACCTCCTTCCTCCTCCATTGTATCAAGGATCTGTGGCAATGAGCCGAGATCGCGCCACTGTACTCCAGACTGGGCAATGGTGAGACTCCACCTCAAAACAATAGATAAATAAAGAAACAACAACAAAAAAGTCTCTAGTGGAGAAATTTCTTTCATATGTCATTGTCATTCAATTGTTCATCAAATATCACTGAGTGCCTATTATGTATTAGCACTGCGCACTGATGATACAATGGTGAATAATATAGACATGATTCCTGCCCCCAGGGAGCTTATATTCAATTGAGGGAGTAAACCACCCCCGCTGACCAAAATGGAGTAAATTAAATTATAAACTGTGACATGTGTTAAGGAGAAACAAAGTACACACTGACATAAATCTACCACCATTGCACACTTTAAAATATTAATGATTTGTCATGTTATTGGGGCATCAGATTCTTCTCAACCATGCTAGTTAAGACTTCCTTTTTTGGAATTTGGATTTTGAAACTCATCATATTTTTCTTTGGCTGCTAGGAAGAATGAAATTAATGTGGGCCCCAACTCTACCAATCGGTGTGGTATAAATGACTGTGTGTCACTCTTAGCCTCAGTTTTATTTTCCTATCCATATATTTTCTATGGCCTGATGCCAGTGACACATTTTTATACATTCATGTTCCATATCATTTGGAAAACTGCCTCAAATCCTTTATGATCTTTAGTGAGAGTTTACATTATCCATTCACATACATACACATCTATCACAGGCAATTAATATAAACTACTGAGACAAGGTGTTATGTTGGTTTTCGATGATAGCATGCCAAAATGTTAAATTATAATGTTAAAATTCCATGCTCAGTAGAGACACAACGTTTTCCTTCATAAACAAGAATTCCTTCCCAAATGTTGTGTTTGTTTTGGTTGTTCGGTATTTTCTTAAAAAACATCATCAGATGAAAAATTATGATAAAACTCTTCTCACAAAAAAAAAGAATACAAAATTAAAATCAAACTGAACCATCTCAAGAGTACATTATGAAAGATATCTAATTACCTCATGTAAAAAATGTAAATACATATGTAATACATAAAAAGAATTAACTAGCCAGATTAATTTTTCTTTGATTTTCTTTTGTTTTAAAATATCTTTGTTGAACTGTAATTTACATGCTATACAATTTACCTACTTAAAATACATAATTTAATAGTTTATGTATATTAATGGAGTTGTGTAACTATAACTATAAGTTGAGTTTAGAACACTTTTATCATCCCAAAAGGAATTTAGTACCCATTAGCAGTCCTGTTCCGCTCCTAGCCCTAGGTAACTACTAATCTACTTTTCGTTTCTAAAGATTTGTCTATTATGGACTTTTCAATTAAATAAAATCCCACACTAGTAGGATTCTTTCACTTAATATACTTCCGTGACTGGTTTCTTTCACTTAATATAATGTCTTCAAAGTTCTTGCATTTTGTAGCATATATCAGTACTTCAATCATTTTTATTGCCAAATAATATTATATGGATATATCACATTTTGTTTATTGACTCATAAGCTGGTGAACATTTGGGGTTCCCTTTCTTTTACTATTGTTCATAATGCTTCTATGAATATTCATGTACAAGTTTTTGTGTGGACATATTTTAATTTCTCTTGGGTATATACGAGGAGTAGAATTGCTAGATCACATGTTAACGCTATAATTTTATTTTTTGAGGAACTGACAAACTGTTTTCCAAAGCATAGGTTAAATTTTAAAGATATTAAAATAAAAAATGCCAAGAACATCTAAAGATATAAAAATGGACCTGGCTTCAATAATTATTTTCAGATTAAAGACTTAAAACATACAAATATGTTTGTGCATTACTTTCATGACTTGTTTTTACTCAGTTTGTGATTCAACATTTCAGTGGCATTTTGGGAGGGAAATCTTGGCCCAAAACTTAGAAACTTAGCTCCTTATTGATAAGAAGGCTGCTTAAATGAAATCTCTGCAATTTAATTGGCTATCATATGGAAAAACAGAAAATCATAAACAAAGCTACTCAAATACCTTTGAGTACTTATTATACTTTATGTTACTATTATTACTGCCTAGAATGCATATAAACTTGTTTCGAAGACACTCCCAGTATTTTCCCAATTTTCTTTCATTAATATCTCTTGGATCAGTTTTTTACATCTATAAAATGAAGGGTTGAACATAGGAATCATAAGTGATTCTTATGATTCCATCTCTAATATCTCACTATTCTCTATTACAGTACTCTGCTAAGTCATAAGTCGGATTGCAGTTGCACTTGTCTGAATTTTTATTCGCCATTGTCATTGTAAGTAACGCAAGAGTGAATGAAGAAACCATCATGTGGCATCTTCAACTACAGAATAATTTTTTTCAGTAACAGAATGGTTGAGAAATAAACTTAAACTTAGAATACGCAGAATAATGACTCCATTGCCTAAAGAATTTAGATCTTTGTAAATTTCATCTTGTTTCTTTAGAACCACCCCTGCCCCGCACCACTACCGGAAGCCCCGGGCAGCAGGCTAATCCCAAGCGTCCCAATCAGAATGTCAGGGATTCACTGGGGCTGACCTGTTTTCCTCAGGGATATGAAGAGACATGAACTGCAGAGGATCCAAACACTGCACCAACCAGCCTTGGCGTTCACTTATTCGAGACACATCTACCTTCAAAAACTGGTTGGGCATTCTGCTCCACAGGACGTGTGACAGGAACTGCACGTGGAGGCGCGGGGGGCACTGCGGCACGGGGTTCTTGTGCTCACTCTTGAATAATCCCGCCGAGAGAGGCATCACATTCTAGCGGATGGGGAGGCAGAAAAAGAATAAATGTAGAACATCCCTTGGGGTTCACAAAGTAATGACTAGAATTCTGCACAGGACAGAGACAGGGAAAGTAAGATAACCCTATGAGTCAAGCAAAGTCAACACAAGAAATCATAGAAATTGGGTTGAAAAGTTTCTGAAAGGACAAACCAGGAAATACATTATGAGAGAGAATACCTACACCTTCCGGGCAGTCAAACAGGTTTCGGGATGTGTCTTTCCCATATACTGAATGGCACAGAGAGAAGGCCAAGCATACCCATATATCCTTTATATTTCTTTACCAGGCTGGGACCTCCGGGAAAGCTGGCAAGTCTTTAGGGACTTTCAGTGCCAAACTTCCTGAATGACAGATATGTCACATCCCCCTGGCTCTCTCTCTCAATATCTGTTCTCTGTCACCCAACTCGTCCTTAAGACACTTCCTCTAGCCAGAAGTATTCCAGATAAAGCTCAACAGATAAACCTGACTACCGAATAAGAAAACAGAATATGTTAGGCATTAACAAACCTACTTATTTCTCCTCCACCTCCAGTATCATCTTCAGCCATCCTTAATTCTTTCTGTCTGGTGTCAAAGAAAGAGAGGTCTCTGCTTTGCCAAAAGTTTCTTCATTTATCTATGATCTTGACAACACCGATGCCTGCCTCTTATGGGACCATAAGAAAACCATTATCTCATATTTCTGCATTATCTTCTATCTCTTCTTCTCCTCTAGAGCCCCCTCAACTGCATGCTGTAGACTACTTCATCCTCAAACTGCTTTCCTATTGCCCTCTAACAATAGGCGGGGAAAAACCAAGTACTGGTTTAAATACTGATGATATGCTAATGAATAAAACTAACAAAACCCCTGCCCTCATATAGCTTCCATTTTTCTCACTGAAAGTATGAAATAAAATCAATAAGTAAATTAAATGAATTAAATGGTATTTTAAAAGAGATGTCATGGGCCTGGGGGTTTGGGGGACAGAAAGCTAGAATGGGGGAACCAGAATCAAGGGCAGCAATTTTAAATGGGGTTGTCAGAATGGGCATCATTGAGAAAGCAACATTTAAAGAAAGACTGGGCTAGGCACCATGGCTCACGCCTGTAATCCCAGCACTTTGGGAGGCCGAGGCAGGTGGATCACTTGAGGTCAGGAGTACAAGACCAGCCTGGCCCACTGCTAAAAATACAAAAATTCGCCTGTAAAAAAAAACAAAAATGGTGGCATGTTCCTGTAGTCCCAAATACTCAGGAGGCTGAGGTGGGAGAATTGCTTGAACCTGGGAGGCGGAGGTTGCAGTGAGCTGAGATCGTGTCACTGCACTCCAGCCTGGGTGACAAGTGAGACTCTGTCAGAAAGAAAGAAAAGGGAAGGGGGGAAGGGGAGAAGGGGGGAGGGAGGGATGGAGGGAGGGAAGCAAGGAGAGAGAAAGAAAAAAAGAGAGAGAGAGAGGTTGTAGTGAGCTGAGATCACATCACTGCACTCTAGCCTGGGTGACAGAGTGAGACTGTCAGTAAGAAAGAAAAGGGATGGGGACAAGGAAGATAGGAGGGCAGGAAGGAAGGGAGGGAGGGAAGGAGAGAGAAAGAGAAAAAGAGAGAGAGAGAGGTTGTAGTGAGCTGAGATCACATCAGTGCACTCTAGCCTGGGTGACAGAGTGAGACTGTCAGCAAGAAAGAAAAGGGACAGGGACAAGGAAGGAAGGAAGGGAGGGAGGGAAGGAGGGAGGGAGAGGGAGAAGAGAAGAAGAGAGAAAGAAGAAAGGAAAAGAAGAGAAGAGAGCAAGCAGTCCAGTATGGATGCATTCAATTTGTGATAGCTATTAGTCGGCCAATGAAAATGTCAGTAGAAGTCAATAGTCAATAGATGACTGAATATATCAGTCAGGCTTCTGAGAAACTACAACTCCTTGTCCAATTTTGTAAAAAAAAAAAAAAAAAAAAAAAACAGGTCAGTCTGAACTTGCTGCCTCCTTTCTCTCATTTCCAATCTTGAATTCACTGTCACATGGCTCCTCTCATCATTTTTTAATATAATAATTGAGACAAGGTCTCCCTCTGTCACCCAGGCTGGAGTGCAGCAGCGCAATCACGGCTCACAGCAGCCTCCATGTCTGCACTCTCAAGTGATCCTCCCACCTCAGCCTCTGGAGGATCTGGGACTAAAGGCGTGCACCACCACATCTGCCTAAAATAATTTTTTATTTTTTGTAGAGATGGGGTCTCACTATGTTGCCCAAGCTGGTTTCAAACTTCTGGGCTCAAGTGATTCCTCCTTCCTCCCAAAGTGCTGGGATTACAAGCATGAGCCACTGAGACCAGCCCCTCTCCCATTGTTTTGCTTAAATTCTTCTGGCAAGGCCACCAAAGCCCTCCTCATTAACAAAAGCCAGGAATTCCTTTACTCCGAGTTGTATGAGTCCATCTACGGCATCCGCTGTTAGCCACTCCTGTTTAGAAAACTCCATCCTCGCTTGGCGTCTACTAAAATGTCTCTTTCAGTTCTTCTCCAACATTCTTGAGAGTTCTGCCCTCAGCCTATCTCATAGGTTCCTCTTTTTTAGTTGATACAACCAGGCTCTCTCCTCAGCCATCTCTTCCCACTCTCTACATCTGCCCTCAAATATTCCATTCACACTCAAAGATGAATTACAACTGATTTCTTGATGATGAAAATTTTAATCTCCAGCATAGCTCTTTTTAGCACAATGGTGTATACATATGTGTATATAGGTATGCATACGTATGTATATTGTATGTAAATTTATTGAGTATATAAATTTGCTGTATACCATGTATAAAGCACTGCTCAAGATGTTTAGTTATATTAACTCCATAAAACGGATACTGTGAACCCCATTTTATAGATGCAGAAACTGAGCTCAAATAATTTAAGAAAGATGTCCAAGGTCACCAAGCCAGCCTAATAAAACTATCTACTCTATTCACTCCAATGTGTGCCTGGAACCTCAACTTTACAATTGCAAAATTAAGTTCAACCTTTTTTCCTGAATTTCGAAAAGCTCTTCTACTTTTTGATTAGCATGGTCAAATTGTCCAAACTAAAATTTTAAATCAATCATTCATTCTCAGTCTCCTTGAGATCCTGAATTCCATTCATCTACAAATTCTATTAGTCCAATTCATTGTTAAATCCTATTCTTTTTTTTATTATACTTTAACTTCTAGGGTACATGTGCACAATGTGCAGGTTTGTTACATATGTATACATGTGCCATGTTGGTGTGCTGCACCCATTAACGCGTCATTTACATTAGGTATATCTCCTAATGCTATCCCTCCCTCCCTCCCCCAACCCCACAACAGGCCCCGGTGTGTGATGTTCCTCTTCCTGTGTCCAAGTGTTTTCATTGTTCAATTCCCACCTGTGAGTAAGAACATGCGGTGTGTGGTTTTTTGTCCTTGTGATAGTTTGCTGAGAATTGTGGTTTCCAGCTTCATCCATGTCCCTACAAAGGACATGAACTCATCATTTTTCGTGGCTGGATAGTATTCCGTGGTGTATATGTGCCACATTTTCTTAATCCAGTCTAACACTGATGGACATTTGGGTTGGTTCCAAGTCTTTGATATTGTAAATAATGCCACAATAAACATACGTGTGCATGTGTCTTTATAACAGCATGATTTATAATCCTTTGGGTATATACCCAGTAATGGGATGGCTAGGTCAAATGGTATTTCTAGTTCTAGATCCTTGAGGAATCGCCACACTGTCTTCCACAATGGTTGAACTAGTTTACAGTCCCACCAACAGTGTGAAAGTGTTCCTATTTCTCCACATCTTCTCCAGCACCTGTTGTTTCCTGTCTTTTTAATGATCACCATTCTAACTGGTGTGAGATGGTATCTCATTGTGGTTTTGATTGCATTTCTCTGATGGCCATTGATGATGAGCATTTTTTCGTGTCTGTTGGCTGCATAAATGACTTCTTTTGAGAAGTGTCTGTTCATATCCTTTGTCCACTTTTTGATGGGGTTGTTTGTTTTTTTCTTGTAAATTTGTTTGAGTTCTTTGTAGATTCTGGATATTAGCCCTTTGTCAGATGAGAAGATTGCAAAAATGCAAAAATTTTCTCCCATTCTGTAGGTTTCCTGTTGACTCTGATGGTAGTTTCTTTTGCTGTGCAGAAGCTCTTTAGTTTAATTAGATCCCATTTGTCAATTTTAGTTTTTGTTGCCATTGCTTTTGGTGTTTTAGACATGAAGTCCTTGCCCACGCCTATGTCCTGAATGGTATTGCCTAGGTTTTCTTCTAGGGTTTTTATGGTTTTAGGTCGAACATTTAAGTCTTTAATCCACCTTGGATGAATTTTTGTATAAGGTGTAAGGAAGGGATCCAGTTTCAGCTTTCTACATATGGCTAGCCAGTTTTCCCAGCACCATTTATTAAATAGGGAATCGTTTCCCCATTTCTTGTTTTTGTCAGGTTTGTCAAAGATCAGATGGTTGTAGATGTGTGGTGTTGTTTCTGAGGGCTCTGTTCTGTTCCATTGGTCTGTATCTCTGTTTTGGTACCAGTACCATGCTGTTTTGGTTACTGTAGCCTTGTAGTATAGTTTGAAGTCAGGTAGCATGATGCCTCCAGCTTTGTTCTTTTGGCTTAGGATTGACTTGGCAATGCAGGCTCTTTTTTGGTTCCATATGAACTTTAAAGTAGTTTTTTCCAATTCTGTGAAGAAAGTCATTGGTAGCTTGATGGGGATGGCATTGAATCTATAAATTACCTTGGGCAGTATGGCCATTTTCATGATATTGATTCTTCCTACCCATGAGCATGGAATGTTCTTCCATTTGTTTGTGTCCTCTTTTATTTCATTGAGCAGTGGTTTGTAGTTCTCCTTGAAGAGGTCCTTCACATCCCTTGTAAGTTGGATTCCTAGGTATTTTATTCTCTTGGAAGCAATTGTGAATGGGAGTTCACTCATGATTTGGCTCTCTGTTTGTCTGTTGTTGGTGTATAAGAATGCTTGTGATTTTTGCACATTGATTTTGTATCCTGAGACTTTGCTGAAGTTGCTTATCAGCTTAAGGAGATTTTGGGCTGAGATGATGGGGTTTTCTAAATATACAATTATGTCATCTGCAAACAGGGACAATTTGACTTCCTCTTTTCCTAATTGAATACCCTTTATTTCTTTTCCTTGCCTGATTGCTCTGGCCAGAACTTTCAACACTATGTTGAATAGGAGTGGGGAGAGAAGGCCACTTGTGCCAGTTTTCAAAGGGAATGCTTCCAGTTTTTGCCCATTCAGTATGATATTGGCTGTGGGTTTGTCATAAATAGCTCTTATTAATTTGAGATACGTCCCATCAATACCTAATTTATTGAGAGTTTTTAGCATGAAGGGCTGTTGAATTTTGTCAAAGGCCTTTTCTGCATCTGTTGAGATAATCATGTGGTTTTTGTCGTTGGTTCTGTTTATATGCTGGATTACGTTTATTAATTTGTGTATGTTGAACCAGCCTTGCATCCCAGGGATGAAGCCCACTTTATCATGGTGGATAAGCTTTTTGATGTGTTGCTGGATTCCGTTTGCCAGTATTTTATTGAGGATTTTTGCATCGATGTTCATCAGAGATATTGGTCTAAAGTTCTTTTTTTTGGTTGTGTCTCTGCCAGGCTTTGGTATCAGGATGATGCTGGCCTCATAAAATGAGTTAGGGAGGATTCCCTCTTTTTCTATTGATTGGAATAGTTTCAGAAGGAATGGTACCAGCTCCTCCTTGTACCTCTGGTAGAATTCGGCTGTGAATCTGTCTGGTCCTGGACTTTTTTTGGTTGGTAGGCTATTAATTATTGCCTCAATGTCAGAGCCTGTTATTGGTCTATTCAGGGATTCAACTTCTTCCTGGTTTAGTCTTGGGAGGGTGTATGTGTCGAGGAATTTATCCATTTCTTCTAGATTTTCTAGTTTATTTGCATAGAGGTGTTTATAGTATTCTCTGATGGTAGTTTGTATTTCTGTGGGATTGATGGTGATATCCCCTTTGTCATTTTTTATTGCATCTATTTGATTCTTCTCTCTTTTCTTCTTTATTAGTCTTGGTAGTGGTCTACCAATTTTGTTGATCTTTTCAAAAAACCAGCTCCTGGATTCATTGATTTTTTGAAGGGTTTTTTGTGTCTCTATCTCCTTCAGTTCTGCTCGGATCTTAGTTATTTCTTGCCTTCCGCTAGCCTTTGAATGTGTTTGCTCTTGCTTCTCTAGTTCTTTGAATTGCGATGTTAGGGTGTCAATTTTAGATCTTTCCTGCTCTCTCTTGTGGGCATTAGTGCTATAAGTTTCCCTCTACACACTGCTTTAAATGTGTCCCAGAGATTCTGGTATGTTGTGTCTTTGTTCTCGTTGGTTTCAAAGAACATCTTTATTTCTGCCTTCATTTTGTTATGTACCCCATAGTCATTCAGGAGCAGGTTGTTCAGTGTCCATGTAGTTGAGTGGTTTTGAGTGAGTTTCTTAATCCTGAGTTCTAGTTTGATTGCACTGTGGTCTGAGAGACAGTTTGTTATAATTTCTGTTCTTTTACATTTGCTGAGGAGTGCTTTACTTCCAACTATGTGGTCAATTTTGGAGTAAGTGCGATGTGGTGATGAGAAGAATGTATATTCTGTTGATTTGGGGTGGAGAGTTCTGTAGATGTCTATTAGGTCCGCTTGGTGCAGAGCTGAGTTCAATTCCTAGATATCCTTGTTAACTTTCTGTCTCGTTGATATGTCTAATGTTGACAGTGGGGTGTTAAAGTCTCCCATTATTATTGTGTGGGAGTCTAAGTCTCTTTGTACGTCTCTAAGGACTTGCTTTATGAATCTGGGTGCTCCTGTATTGGGTGCATATATATTTAGGATAGTTAGCTTTTCTTGTTGAATTGATCCCTTTACCATTATGTAATGGCCTTGTTTGTCTCTTTTGATCTTTGTTGGTTTAAAGTCTGTTTTATCAGAGACTAGGATTGCAATCCCTGCCTTTGTTTTCCATTTGCTTGGTAGATCTTCCTCCATCCCTTTATTTTGAGCATATGTGTGTCTCTGCACATGAGATGGGTCTCCTGAATACAGCACTGATGGGTCTTGACTCTTTATCCAATTTGCCAGTCTGTGTTTTTTAATTGGAGCATTTAGCCCATTTACATTTAAGGTTAATATTGTTATGTGTGAATTTGATCCTGTCATTATGATGTCAGCTGGTTATTTTGCTCATTAGTTGACGCAGTTTCTTCCTAGCATCGATGGTCTTTACAATTTGGCATGTGCATGTGGCCGGGCACTTGGCGCCAGAAGCAAGAGCCCCTTGGGGCCACCTCACGGGGTCAGTGAATAAACAATCAGAGTAGTGGTATTTCACCTCTGGCCTTGCCCCACTCTGTCCCCTTGCTGGGACAGGGGGGCACCAGGGGCCTCCCACTTATTCTACACTTCTCATGGCTCTTCACCGTGCCAGACTAGAGTCAAGCTCAACAGGGTCTTCTTTCCCCGCGGATTCCACCAAGCCCGTTCCCTTGGCTGTGGTTTCGCTGGATAGTAGGTAGGGACAGTGGGAATCTCGTTCATCCATTCATGAACGTCACTAATTAGATGACTAGGCATTTGGCTACCTTAAGAGAGTCATAGTTACTCCCGCCGTTTACCCGTCCTTCATTGAATTTCTTCACTTTGACATTCAGAGCACTGGGCAGAAATCACATCATGTCATCACCCACCACGGGCCTTCGCGTATTCATTTCTTCTCTAGAATGTTTTCACATTTATCATTTTTCATTCTGACTTCCATGGCTCTAATCACTGTCTTCCATGTAGACAGTATCAAATTATTGACACCTCATTGCTACTGATTATTCTCATTCTTGCCCACCTCCACATTAATAACAACATATTTTTCCAAAACAAGTTTCATTATGCTCAATCCCCTTCTTCAAATTTCCAATGGATTTCCCTTGTCTATGTAATAGATGCTAACCTTTTCACATGGCACACAAGACCTTTTCAACTTGGACTTGTTCTACCTTTTATCCATCTTAATCTCCAGCCACATTCTGGAAGGCATCCTTTGTTACGGTTACACTGAATTCCTTAACCTTCAGCATGTTCACTCTTACATATTTTTGCTTCTTCTCATCCTCTGCCCAGAATGACCTCTCCTAATAAACGTACCCCAAGAGCTTCTATTTTACAGTTAGTAATCAAACTAAATGTTACCTCTTCTTTGAGCTTTAGCTGATCCAACCCATCCAACTGAGTTGTTCTTTCATTTATGTTACTGGAGTATTCCATACATACCACTATTGTAGGTGGCATGGTTTCAGATCTTTAAGTCCATTCATTAGCTCACCTATCAGTTCAATGACTGCTGCAATGTGTGTAATCTCGGCATTTTTTTTTCTATAGGCCTTTTATTGAATAATATACATATGATAACTAAAGAGAAACACTTTTTAATTATTTTGTTACCCTTGTGACCTGAAAGAGATTTTCAAGCATGGCTATCTTTTCTTGAAAGAATGATTTATTTGATTCATATCAGTACTAATATACTGAATTCATTTCAGAATAAATCAATGCTATATCCTAATAGAAAAAATACAAATACAATACCAGGAATAAGTTTTATTACCTTTATTCTTCCCAACTCAAACTGGAAAACATTGGGACTTGTAGCTTGTGCAAAAACCGCAGGAAATAATTTTGTACTCGGTTCCACCTGAAATACATTTAATGAATTTAATAATGTTAGTAATGAAACAAGACAAGGGAAAAAGTTTTTCTTTATAACAACAAAGGAATACTTTACAGAAGGAGCCCAGAGATTTTCCTTTCTTGCATATCGATTGATGTGCTCCTTCAAGAATTAGAGTATTTCATTACTATGTGAACACTGCTTGGGGAACATACTCTGTTTACTCTGAAGGGCTTAAGGCATTGTCATTATTTAACAGAAGTAAACATACATAATTAATCTAACTTTTTCCATTTTCTTTTAATTTCTAATTTACTGTTTTTTAATTGACACATTGTAGATATTTAATGGGGTGTAACATGATGTTTTGATACTTGCATACATTGTGTAATGATCAAATCAGGGTAATTAGCATGTCTATCACTTTGAACATTTTTCATTTCTTTGTGGTGAGAACATACAAAATCCTCTCTTCTAGCTATTTTGAGATATACAATACCTGATGGTTGACTATAGTCACCCTACTGTCCAATAGGACACCAGCGCTTATTCTTCCTTTCTAATGTTAACTCTATACCCATTGGGTATCTGCTCCCTCTCCCCCACTTTCACCTACCCTTCCCAGTCTCTGATAACCACTATTCTATTCACTACTTCCATGACATTAACTTTTTTCGATTCTACATATGAGTGGGCAATGCAGTATTTTTCTTTCTATGTCTGGCTTATTTCACTAAACACAATATCCTCCAGGCTCACCCATATTGGTGCGAATGACAGGTTCTCATTTTTTTTATGACCAAATAGTATTCCACTGTGTATATATACCACATTTTCTTCACTTACTAATCCATTGATGGGCACTTAGGCTGATTCCCTATCTTGGCTATTGTGAGTAGTGCTGTGATAATTATAGAAGTGCAGATATTCCTTCCACACACTGATTTCCTTTCCTTGGGATATATACCCAGGAATTCTGGATCATATGGTAGTACTATTCTTAATTTGTTGAGGAACCTCCATACTGTTTTTCATAATGGGTATATTCATTTACATTCCCACCAACAGTGTATGGGTTTCCCTCTTCCTCAACATCCTTGCCAATGCTTATTATCTTTTGTCTTTTTGATAATAGCCATTTTAACTGGAATAAGGTAATATTGTGGTTTTGATTTGCACTTTGCTGATGATTAGTGATGTTGAGCATGTTTTCATATGTCTGTTGGCCATTTGTATGCCTTCTTTTGAGAAATGTTTATTAAGGTCTTTTGCCCCCTTTTAAATCAGATTGTTTTTACTATTGTTGTTTGTGTTCCTTATATATTCTGGATATTGATCCCTTATCAGATGTATAGTTTACAAATATTTTGTCCCATTCTGTAGATTGTCTTTTCACTCTGTTAATTGTTTCCTTGGCTGTGCAGAGGATTTTTAGTTTGATATAATCCCACTTGTCTATTTTTGCTTTTGTTGCCTGTGCTTTTGAGGTCTCGTCCAAAAAATCCTTACCCAGTCCAATGTCATGAAGTGTTTCCCCCATGTTTTCTTCCAGTACTTTCATAGTTTAAGGTCCTACATTAAGTCTTTAATCCACTTTGAGTTGATTTTTGTATATGGTGAAAAATAGGGGTCCAATTTCATTCTTCTGCATGTGGATATTCAATTTTCCCTGTACCATTTATTGAAGAAACTGTCCTTTCCCCAATGTGTGTTCTTGGCACCTTTGTTGAAAATTAGTTGGATATGGATAGGTGTTTTTTTTTCTGGGTTCTCTGTTCTGTTTTATTGGTCTATATGTCTGTTTTGGTTACCATAGCTTTGTAGTATAGTTTCAAGTCAGGTAGTGTTTTGGTTACTATGGCTTTGTGTATTTTAAACTCAGTTAGTGTGATGTTTCCAGCTTTATTCTTTTTGCTCAAGATTGCTTTGGCTGCTTGGGGTCTTTTGTGATTTCATAAGAAATTTAGAATTATTTTTTCTATTTCTATAATAGAATAATAATGTCATTGGTATTTTGATAGGGACTTCACTGAATCTGTAATTACTTTTTGTACTATGGACATTTTAATAATATTAATTCTTCCAATCCATCCAATCCAACAGCATGAGATATCTTTCCATTTATTTCTGTCCTCTTAAATTTATTTCACCAATGTTTTATAGATTGCAGTGTAGAGATCTTACACCTCCTTTGTTAAATGTATTCCTAGATAACTGATTTTTTTTTTTTTTTTTTTTTTGAGATGGAGTCTCACTCTGTCACCCAGGCTGGAGCTCAGCTCACTGCAACCTCTGCCTCCTGGGTTCAAGTGATTCTCCTGCCTCAGCCTCCCCAGTAGGTGGGATTACAGGTGCCTGCCACCATGCCCGGCTAATTTTTTTGTATTTTTAGTAGAGACGAGGTTTCACCATTTTGGCCAGGCTGGTCTAGAACTCCTGACCTCAGATGATCCACCCGCCTCGGCCTCCCAAAGTGCTGGGATTACAGGCATGAGTCACTGCGCCCAGCCGATAACTGATTTTTAAAGCTATTGTAACTGAGATTGTATCTTGATTTTTTTTCTCAGAGCATTCACTACTAGTGCAAAGAAATACTGATTTTTGTATGCTGATTTTGTATCCTGCAAATTTACTGAATGTATTAGTTTTAACAGTTTTTTAGTAAACTTTTAAAGGTATTTTTATATATAGGATCATGTCATCTACAAACTGAGACAATTTGATGACTTCTTTTCCAATTTGGATGCCTTTTATTTCTTTTTCTTGCCAAATTCTCTGGCTAGCACTTCTAGTATTATGTTGAACAGAAGTGGTGAAAGTGGGCATCTTTGTCTTGTTCCAGACCTTAGAAAAAAAAGCTTTCAACTTTTCCCCCATTTAGTCCTGGGCTTTTCTTTGATAGAGACTTTTCATTATTGATACAATTTCCTCACTCACTATTAATCTGCTCAGATTTTCTATTTCTTCATAAGTCAGTCTTGGTAGGTTGTATACATCTAGGAATTTATCCATTTCTTCTAGGTTATCCAATTTGTTGGCATACAATTTTTCATAATATTTTCTCATTATCCTTTGTATTTCTGTGGTATAGGTTGTAATGTCTTCTTTTCAATGTGGATTTTATTTATTTGAGTCATCTCTTTCTTTGTCTAGCTAAAGGTTTACTGATTTTGTCTTTTCAAAAAACCAACTCTTCGTATCATTGATCTTTTGTATTGTTTAGTCTCTGTTTCGTTATTGTTCCAATTTTTATTATTTATTTACTTCTATTAATTTGGGGTTTAGTTTGTTCTTGTATTTGTGGTTTTTGGAGGTGCAATATTAGGTGGTTTATTTTTTACTTCTTAAATGTAGGCATTTAATACTGTAAACTTCCCTCTTAGAACTGCCTCTGCTGTATCCCATAGCTTTTGGTATGTTGTGTCGCCATTTTTGTTTGTCTCAAGAAAATTTTTAATTTCTTTTTTAACATCTTCATTTACCCACTGGTTATTCAGGGGTATGTTGTTTAATGTCTATGTATTCGTAAAGTTTCCTCAGTTCCTCTCAGTATTGATTTCTAGTTTTATACTAGTGTGATCAGAAAATATATACGATATCATCTTAAATTTTTAAAGATTTATTTTGTGGCCTAACATATGATCTGTCCTGGAGAATGCCACATGAGCAGTTGAGAATAATGTGTATTCTTCAGCTATACATCTGTTGCACAGAATGTTCTGTAAATGTCTAGTATGTCCCTTTGGTCTAGAGTGCAGTTTAAATCTGCTGTTTCCTTGCTGAATTTCTGTCTGGATTATCTGCTGTTGTTGAAAGTGGGGTGTTGAACTTCCCTACTATTGTTGCATTGAAGCCTATCTCTCCCTTTAGATAAAACATACTTCATATATTTGGATGCTCCAGTGTTGAATGCATATAAATTCACAATTGTTATATCTTCTTAACTGATCCTTTTCTATTAATGACCTTCTTTGACTCTTTTTTACATTTTTTGAATTAAGTCTATTTTATCTAAGTGTGGCTACTTCTGCTCACTCTCAGTTTCCATTTGCATTGAAAATCTTTTTCCATCCCTTCACTTTCAGGCTATGTCTGTCCTTAAAGGTGAAGTGAATCTCTAGTGGGCAGCATATAGTTGAGTCTTGCTTTTTATCCATGCAGCCACTCTATATATTTTAACTAAGCAATTTAATTCATTTACATTCAAGGTTATTATTGATAGGTAAGGAATTATTCCTAATATTTTGTTGGTTGTTTTCTAGATCCTTCATTTCTTTCTTGCTCTCTTGCTTACCTTTGTGGTTTGATACCTTTTTGTGGTGCTAAGCTTTGATACCTTTCCCTTTCTCATTAGTGTGACTGCTGCAATTTTTTCTTTGTGGTTACTATGAAACTAAGACAAACAATATTGTAGTTATAATAGACCATCTTAAGCTGATACATTTGGTTGCATAAAAATACTCTGGACTGGCCAGGCATGGTGGCTCATGTCTGTAATCCCAGCACTTTGGGAGGCCGAGGTGAGCGGATCACAAGGTCAGGAGATCGAGACCATCCTGGCCAACATCGTGAAACCCCATCTCTATTAAAAATACAAAAATTACCTGGGTGTGGTGGTGCATGCCTATAATCCCAGCTACTCAGGAGGCTGAGGCATGAGAATTGCTTGAACCCAGAAGGCAGAGGTTGCAGTGAGCCAAGATCCCACCATTACCTGGCAACAGAGCAAGACTCTGTCTCAAAAAAAAAAAAAATACTCTGGACTTTTACCCTCCCCTCACAATTTATATTTCTGATGCCTTAATTTACATCTCTCTATATTGTATGTTCCTTAACAACTACTTGTAGCTGTAGTTACTTTTGACAATTTTGACTTTTAACCTTCATACTAGAGTACTAGAGGTCTGAAAGATTTGGCATAGCACCATTTCAGTACTGCAGTATTCTGAGTTTGATTTAAAATTTACTTCTACGAATGGGTTTTATACTTTTACATGTTTTCATGATAGTAATTACCATCCTTTTGCTTCCAGCTTTAGCACTGCCTTACGCATTTCTTCTAAGGCAGGTCCAGAGGTGGTGAATTCATTCTGCTTTTGCTTATCTGTGGAGTACTCTATTTTTCCTTCATTTCTGAAGGATAGCTTTGCTAGACATAGTATTCTTGGCTGACAGTTGTTCTTTCAGCACATTGAATATATCTCATTTCCCTAGCCTTCAAGGTTTCTGCTGAGAAACTTGCTGATAGTCAAATGGAAATCCAAGTATATATGACTTGGTGCTATTCTCTCATTACTCTTAGGATTCTTTTTCTTTGATATTTGACAGTTTGATTATAATGTGCCTTGGAAAGGACTTTTCTGGGTTGATTCTCTTGAGATCCTTTGAGCTTCCTGGATCTGGATGTCCATATCTTTCCAAAGATGTGGAAAGTTATTAGTCATTATTTTGTTAAACGTTTTCTGTGCCTTTCTCCATTGCTCAGTGGCATCCCATAAGTTCTATAGGCTTTTTTCCTTCTTTCTTATTTTTATTTCTTTTTCTCCCTCTGGATGGGTTATTTCAAAAGACCTGTCTTCAAGTTCATAAAGTCTTTCTTATGCTTGATCTAGTCTGTTGTTGAAACCCTCAGTTGTATATTTTATTTCATTTATTGAATTCTTGAGTTACAAGATTTCTGTTTAGTTCTTTTCTACTATATGTATTTCTTCATTGAATATCTCATTCAGATCATGAATTGGTTTCCTAATCTTGTTGAAGTATCTGCATTTTATTGTATCTCACTGAGTTCCCTTAAGATCATTATTTTGAATTTCTTTTCAGGCATCCTATAAATTTATTTTGGGGAGGGGGATCTGTTACTAGAGAATTATTGTGTTCCTTTGGAGGAGTCATGTTTCCTTCCATTCGCGTGTTTCTTGTGTTCCTTTGATATCTGTTCATCTGGTAAAACAGTAGCTTCTTCCAACTTTATGAAGTAGCTTTTGTAGGAAATAGCTTTTCCTGTAGATGGGTTCTAGGGTACCGGTTGGGTAGGATACACTGGTTTTGGTTCTGGGTGGATGCGGTAGTGTAGTATCTGTGCAGATTCTTCAGCTGTAATTTATGTCAGCAGCATCTGCAAGTGCCTCAGTGGTCTCGCTACAGGCATTTGTGGTGGTGATTGTGCAGCTTTGTTGGGGTGAGACCTGTTTCTCAGGTCACAGGAGTGCAGTGGCTGGGACAGCTATGAGGAGGGCTTGCTAGGGGCAGGTCTGCTCGGCTGATTTTCAGACCAGGGGCACATGTACATGTGTCTATTTTACTTTTTGATCTTACAAACTGTGTTTTCCTTTAATGGGGGAAAGAAGTCTTCCTCCCTAGAAGACTGATATCATCACTGACCGCGTACCTGATAGTATGTGCTCAGTTCCTTGCCATTGGCAATGAATGTGAGCAGCCCGCTGGCAGCATCCACCACACAGCCAATCTCCAGTCCATTATTGTTGCGTCCTTGCCCGGGGCTCATGCTCTCACCCGCACATACCATATAGCAGTTGCTGCGTTTGATGCTGAATTTCAAAAGAACATTTTTATCTTTGTACAACCACAGATAAAAGAGAAAGCAGGTATATCTTGCAAACTAACTAAATTATGCTGCGCAAGCAACAAGCTCATGCTGTAATGGGAGAGGTGCACAATAGGCCCGATTCTGTGATTCTGAGCAAAACTCCATTGACTGCAGTGGACGTTCTGAATCAGGTCTTATAAGTCTCTACATTTCACACCTAATGAAGACAGGTCAACAAGTTGGAACCAAGTAAGAACTGACCTGCACCTTCTCTCCAAAAACTCAAACCAAACTAGACCTTTTTCTGGGTTCAAAAAAGTTTAACTATTTAAAAATCATCCAAATTTGTAATTTTCATCTCATGGATTTTTTTTAGCTTTTTTTTGTTTTGTTTTGTTTTACCACTTGTTCTGAAATGAGAAGCATTTATTTCCAGACACTATCAAAGTCCTTAGGCAAATTCTACATAAGCCTTCAGTGATTTGATATACTTAAAATTTGGCTAAAATTTTGCCCCTTTCTGGACAATTCCCAGTGATCTGAGAGACAGATTTAACTAGAATATGCAAAAAAAAAAAAAAAAAAAAAAAAAAAAAAAAAAAAAAAAAAAAACCCAGTGATATTAACCACAAATGCCACCTGATTTTCACCTTCCCTAAAGCTTTTACTAGAGATGGTAACAAAGTTAAGTAATTTGAGCCTTATCAGCATTCTCTTTCTTTGCCACTGTACAGTAAACATATTAACAAAACCAGCAAAAAAGGCTAAAGCCAGGCAAGCAGAAGGGAAAGAACAAAAAGGCTGGGATAAATCAGTTTTTGAGTAATCAAATGTAGGCTGCATTTCTTCACACTATCTACATAAAATCCAATGACCCTTCCCTATCTTCCATTTCCTCCAACAAAATCATCTTTCAGTTATCCCATCCCTATATTGAGTTCTTTACTTATACTGTTGCCATCCCTGAAAATTAAGCATGGCCCCCAAAAAATATTCCTGGAGACATGTGGTTTTTTTGTTCCAAACTTATGTAAAGAGCTCTTCATTAGAGATTTTTGCTGGGCTCCCATTGAAAATGCTAAGTCCATTATGCTTCATATGTTACAACCCGAGGGCAGGAAAGTGAGTTTCCCAAAAAATGATGGTGCAAGTATAGAAGAAAAGCAACGTTATAAAGGACTCTTTCGGAGACCTGTCACAGCAGATCAGAGAGGATGCATGGGCACAAAAGGTAGAAGCCAATGGTCAGATCTTCTCTTGTCTTATTCTGCAAGGAAGATAGCCTTCTTCACTTTTTTGAAGGTTTGGTTTGAGTTTGGTTTGTTTTACAAATGAAAAAAAGATGGCACAGAAAGTGTAACTGACTTACCCAAAGCCACACAGCGAGTCAATGGCAAAGCTGAGGAAAGAACCCACTTCTCCTCAGTCCGAGTTCAAATGCGTCCACCTGGTCTAAACTACCAGCCCACATTGTCTTCACAGTTTTCTCCCCACCACATAGCCAGTTCCCGAAATCTATATCAAGTCATTGGTTAAAAGCCGCACATTCACCCATCTCTCAACCCTAAAACAAAGGCTAAGTATTGGTAACCCAAGCTGTTAGTCATGTTACCTGAAGGAATATATGATCATTACCCCAAAAGGCTGCACTGCTCTTACTGTACAATGTTTGCACATTTAACACATTTAGATTCCTTAACTGGTTTGTATGAATAACAAAAACGACATTGACATTAATGGCTTGATTATATTCTTCCTATAAATAGAAATACCTTGGTCACAAAATACAAGGAAAAGGAATAGCTAGGTTCACCAATATTTTTTTCACATGTCATTCTTGCAAAAAATTGAGGAAAACTAACCTTTCATGCACTTTTCCTTTTTCATCTCCTAGAGTAACTGTTACTGTGCGAACTCTGTCCAAGTCAAAGCCTGTGTCATACTGATGGAAATCTGATGTAATCCAGCCCACCCAGACATTAGCAGGTTCTTGTCCAGGAAAGATTCTCACTGAGTAATAGTACTGTGAAGATAGCAGAACCAAATATTGGCAAAGTAAAACTAAACAAAACAAAACTTGGATTTGCAATCCTAACTGTGTCTAAGTCTGTGAATGACTTAAGAATTCACTTCTTGGTTTAAAACCGTTTGGGTGAATGAAAATATTGTAGGCACAAAGGACTAACACTACAAACTAAGAAACGTCTTTTACCAGAGATCCTGAATTAAATAAGAAATAACAGGAAAGAGAGAAAAGATGTGATCTGAGCAAACATGCTAAATGATTTAAGTCTTTTTATGCTGGTCAGCATATATGTGTGTGCTAGATGTGTGTAATATACACACATACATATATATGTGCACATATACAGTGTATGTATGTAATAAAACCACGAATCCATTAAGCATAGGGAAGCTTCAAATTCTTCAAGCTTATACATGTATGCAAATCTATGTTCACTTTTTTTTTTTTTTTTTGAGATAGACTCTCACTCTGTCACCCAGGCTGGGGTGTAGTGGTGTGATCTCAGCTCACTGAAGCCTCTGCCTCCCAGGTTCAAGAGATTCTCCTGCCTCAGCCTCCCGAGTAGCTGGGACTACAGGTGTGCACAACGACACCCAGTTAATTTTTATATTTTTAGTAAAGACGGGGTTTCACCATGTTAGCCAGGCTGTTCTCGAACTCCTGACCTCAGGTGATCCACCTGCCTCAGCCTCCCAAAGTTCTGGGATTACAGGCGCGAGTCACCGCACCTGGCCAATGTTTGGGTTTTTATACTCGTCACCCACCTTTTTTGCATGTTCTTGGCCTTTCCTTTCTCTGACACATAACATTTTGAACTTTAAGCTCACTTTTTTTTTTTTTGAGACAGAGTCTTACTCTGTCACCCAGGCTGGAGTGCAGTGACACCGTGTCGGCTCACTGCAACCTCTGTCTCCTGGGTTCAAGCAATTCTCCTGCCTCAGCCTCCCTAGTAGCTGGGATTACAGGTGCCCACCTCCACACTCCACTAATGTTTATATTTTTAATAGAGACAGCGTTTCACCATGTTGGCCAGGCTGGTCTTGAACTCTTGACCTCAGATGATCCATCCACCTCTAACTCCCAAAGTACTGGGATTACAGGTTTAAGCCACTGCACCTGGCCTAAACTCATTTTGAAATAGTTCAGAACATGTGAACATCAAACTCAAATATGGGATCACTCTACAATGAACACAACTAAATACTTTTTCAATGTAGCATTTTAGGAGAAGTAGCTTTGAGAATTTAAAATGGAAGGGAGCAAAGCTTGACCTCTCACAAATTATGATGATTGATCTTCAGACAATTCAGTAAGATGAAGAAAATCAAATGTAGTTGAAAAATTCAAGGGCAATTTAAAATTTTGTCAAGAAACAGAGCAAAATTAAGATTATGCATGCCATTACAAATATTTTTTCTAAAATAACTCTTGTATTGCATAATATCCATCATAATACGTAAACTTTTTTCAAACTTTCAGTCCCCAAAATATATCCAAAAACAGAAACAGACATTTTAAAAATAATGTTACTAAGTATGATGAATCGGTATGTATTACTGGAGATGTAAAACATAATGAGTGACAGATAGAAATAAACGACAAAAGCTGCAACCTCATACCGTGGACGTTTGCATCAAGAAATCATAGTCATCCCGATCATCAGCAAGGACATCTTCGGTGAGTCTTGCAGAATGGCTTGTGCTGTAATCTGGCTTTGTTCTTCTAAGCAAAAATCTGAAATATTTCAGAGGACTAACAATAAGCAACATTAAAATGTTCTGTCTACTTCAAATATGAGCATATAATCAATTGAGTTGCCTTAAACCTGGGCGATTTTGCTCCCTGGGGGACATCTGGGAATATCTGAAAATACATGTTTTTGGTTCTCACAGTTTGGGGGATGGAGTGCTACTGGCATCTAGTGGGTGGAGGTCAGGATGCTGCTCAGCATCCTTCAATGTCCAAGGTGTGTCCTCAACAAAGAATTGTCTGGCCTAAAGTGTCAATAGTGCTGAGACTGAGAAACTCTGATTTAGTATAAGAAAGGATGTTAAAATAACTTGCCGCCTTTATCATAAAAAATACTATTTGGAGAAAATGCTCTGCAAGTTTCAGGCAAGAATGTAAACACAGACATCTTAAAAAGTAACTCTTGAGATAGATTGCACCTACGCTAACAAATTAGATGACTAACAGGTTGCTTAATTTTTCCCTACAGCATCCTTTGCACAAAGAGGAGGAGGAGAAGGGGGAGGAGGAGAAGGGGGAGGAGGAGAAGGGGGAGGAGGAGAAGGGGGAGGAGGAGAAGGGGGAAGAGGAGGAGGGGGAGGAGGAGGAGGGGGAGGAGGAGAAGGGGGAAGAGGAGGAGGAGGAGGAGGAGGAGAAGGAGGAAAAAATTTACACTAGGAGACCCTTTACTCTGGACTGTAACCTTCCTCACATAACTACAAATTTAAAATCACAGCGTATAAATTAGTAACCTTTGTTTCAGACGAGAGGGCTTTTCCTGGGCATAATCTTTGTGGTTGTTAAACTCTGGTTTAGTAGCTTCTTTGTCTTTGTCAACACGATCGGGCACTAGATGGCCATGAGCTGTCTTCATCAGAACCTCAAAGTCAGAATCAGCATCATAATCTTCCAAGTCATTCTTGGGCCCAAAAAGGCCAGCCCCAGGGAGCCCTCCAGCCACCGTCTTGGAGAAGACCTCCGCGCACTCGATCGGCATGCTCAGGCGATAAAACATGATATCAGTGTTGCTGTTCTGAGAACCAAAAGACTTCTGAGTGACCTTTAAACATGGGGAACTGTCTATGGTGCCGTCTATTCTGGTCACCTAGCAAACGAAGAAGCGATAGTTCACATTCCAATCACCATTGTCAATTTCCTGATTCTAAAGATGACTAAGGCACATCACGTTTTCAGAATCCCAAATGCGGTCCACACATGGCATCATTTTGTAAGAGATGATTAAACAGATTACTGTGCTATGGATATAGTCATAGAGTTCTGCTTCTGTTTCTAAAGACGGTTTCGGAAATTTATCTTATAATTCTATATATTCAGATTCAGCCTGACATTGCCCACACATAAAAAGGAAAGTATTTTTCATCATTCTAACAAGCTACTTGTAACGTAACTAATATGAGAATGGATGTGGTTCCCTTTGCCTTGATCTTTCTTCTAGCTAAAGAGCTTGATGCGCACAAACCCCAGACATAGTCTGAGCTATAGACTTCTTCACACATAGCTCAAGAAAAAAAAAAAAAGAATTGAAAGCAAAAATTTAAAAGTTTCCCATCCACTGATAGCTGGTAGAAAGTACCATCTTTGCTTAGATTCCACTACTATATAACACATCAAGGTCATCATTTTAAGTAAGTCATAATAATTGTCTAAGCAGAAGTTCCTTTGTATAAAGATATTCTTTTCCTGCTTTTTAGAAATGGCCTGATTTTTAAAGAAAAAGCAAACCTCTATATGTTCATGGTTTGATGGAACTTGAAGAAACTGAGGAAGCCTCTTGCTCAGCCACATGGTAATATCCCTGTTTGTATTAACGGCAAATGGTTCATAGCCCTCTTGTAAGCCACAGATGGTGAAATATTTCAAGGTGCTGACATCCTTTCCAAAGTTCATCCTACCCACTTGAGCCACTCCAAGGCTACACACAGGTATGAATCCTGGGAAGAAAAAAAAAATCAAGTTTTAGTACCATTAGTATATGATCCTGTTAGTATAGAATTATCAAACATATTGTTCCAGGACCGAACTTTGTGAGAGCTGTCACCCTAGGGTGAAAAAAGTAGTGTAATAAAGGGAACAATGACATTAAATATTACCCATAAGGGTGAGAAAACCAGGATTTGATCTTGACATTATAATTTACTAGCTGTGGGCCCTAGATAAGTCCCTTCTGTCATCTCAGACTTAACTCTGTAAGATGAAGTAAATGCTATGCAGCCCCTGGTCCTCCGGGGATTCTAGAGATCCCCGCCCTGCAGTCTCCTTGCTCAGGAGTGCATGTACTCTCTCATATAGGGAAAGTAAGAAGGAACTAAGTGCCAAGGGATGTGGTTCACTTGCCTTGCTCCTCCTTCTGGCTAAAGAGCTTGATACATACTAACACCAGACACAGTCTGAGCTATAGATTTCCTCATACATAGCTCAAGAAAAAAAAGAATTGGAGGCAAAAATTTAAAAGTTTTCCATCTACTAATAGTTGCTTTTGATCTTTGAAGAAAATTTTGCTTTTTTTCTGGAATAAACTGGATCTAAGCATGGGGGAAAAATACATGTTTAATGTATGAAGCATGTATTTATGCATGAATGAGGTACATTTATAATGCACAAATTATATATATAATCTTATGTTTATATGCAATAGCAATGAACAATAGAGCAAAAACCAATAAAATATTTCATAAGCTCTTCCCATGTGTGTCAGAGTTAGCAAATCTTTCCTCTTTTGAACAAAAAGGGGAACTATACTAACTTTGTTAATTGTTTTTTTGAGCTCTTTGGAATTGATTGGCAAGACAATGAGATGGTATTTTTTGGAAAGGAGATGAGATTTTTTTTTTCACAAGGGGATGAGATGATATTCTTCAGGGATGGGTGTTTATGTACTCTTTTTTTTTTTTGAGACGGAGTCTCGTTCTGTCACCCAGGCTGGAGTACAATGCTGTGATCTTGGCTCACTGCAACCTCCGCCTCCCAAGTTCAAGTGATTCTCCAGCCACAGCCTCCCGAGTAGCTGAGACTACAGGTGCACGCCACTGCGTCCGGCTAATTTTTGTATTTTTAGTAGAGATAGGGTTTCACCATGTTGGCCAGGCTGGTCTCAAACTCCTGACCTCAGGTGATCTGCCTGCCTTGGCCTCCCGAAGTGCTGGGATTACAGGTGTGGGCCACTGTGCCCAGCCTTCATTTCTTCCTGTAATGTTTTACATGAATGTTCAAGTAGGCAGCACACTAAAAACGTCAGTATTGGAATGCAGACTACAAATTAGATCCTCTAATTTGTAGAGCATAAAACCAATGGATCCTAAGAATAAGCCAACAATTTTGACAAGAATTGTAGTTAGCTCTGTCATTATGATTTACACACTTTTCTCTTACTGAAATTAGTGGCAGTGAAAGCAATATATAACCCCCAAAATAGCATAAGATGATAAAAATTACATCCAATAATTCATAATGATTTTACCCAGTTTGTATGCAGCAACATATAGTCATATGAATAGCTGTATAACAGTGCCACCAACCAGGAAAAAAGAACATATCCAGCTGTGTTCAAGGAAGAGTAAATGATGAGTTTCTAGTTAAAACTAAAAAAAATTGCAGCTGTATCTGCAGCTGTGACAGCTCTTAAAGCTATAGTCAAGAAAAGTTGTTTTAAATGAGTGTCCCCAAAGAAATCAAATAAAAAGAAATCAAATCAAATAAAAAATCTATTGTATTGTGTAAATACAATAGATCTCAGACAGCTTGAACTGCATTAACAGAAATTAGTAAATCTAGCACCCATTTAACATAAACTAGGAGCTACCAAGATAGAAACATTTCCTCAAATGGTAAACATCTATTTCTTTCTGATCACTTTATTTGTAGAAGGAGTTCCTAGCCTACATGGAAAGTTATTGGATAGCTGTAAATATCTGTATAGTTGACCTTTGGCTATTTGTTTCACTAATACCTAAACTTTTCTGCATATTTGAAATACTTTCATTTAAAATATTCAGTGTCTAGTAATATGCACAAATATTTATGTCCTAAACTGTTCCCCATAGCTATGTTTACAATTCTAGAATACTGTTTTGATAATAAATATACTTTTTTTCGTGAGACGAACATTATTCAGCCTTTGACATTTTGGTTTTCAAAGGCCCACTAATGCATAGGAAAATACTCCAAGTAATTATTATTGAAAGAAAGAAAGATAACATATGGTTTATTTTTAAATAGGAAAACAGCAGCAGGGTTTTTATTTAAAAGCTTCAGAATAGTGGAATTCCTGGTAATTTTGTTCTCTATGGCTCCCAATTTAACAAATTTTCTTCAATGTATATATATTTTATTAAAAAACAAGCTTTCATTTTTAAAATTTTATTTAACAAAATGGGACAAAAATTTCTTTCCCATAAAGAAATTTGTAAGAGTGGTGTGGACATAAAATGGCCCAAACAACATACTGTTTGAGTCCTAACACTCAATGTTGGCAGGTGGTGAATTCAGTAACAGAAATCCTCCAAATCAACTTAAACTAGTATAAGATTTATGTAGAGCAATTTGGTAATATGTGTTAAGAAGCTTTCAACCATTCATTTACTTATTCGATAATTACTCACTAAGCAACTACCATGTGTCAGAAAGTAGGAGTAAAAGATGACTAACACAGATCCAGGGCAAAACGTGCTCGTGGTCTAATAACATACAAAGAAAAGTAAAGAAGTTATACTGGCTGGGCCCAGTGACATTTGTAATCCCAGCACTTTGGGAGGCTGAGGCAGGTGGATCACTTGAGGCCACAAGTTCAAGACCAGCCTGGCCAATATGGTGAAACCCTTCTTTACTAAAAATATAAAAATTAGCCGGGCATGGTGGTGGGCACCTGTAGTCCCAGTTACTTGGGAGGCTGAGGCAGGAGAATCTCTTGAACCTGGGAAGTGGACATTGCAGTGAGCCTAGATTGCACCACCACACACCAGCCTGGGCGACAGAGCAAGACTCCGTCTCAAAAAAAAGAAAAAAAAAAGAAGTTGTTATACTGAAATAGCGTACCATCCATCTAAGCAGCCAGGGTTCTAGGAGCAAAGGAAGTATGGAGAGATGGGAGTCAGGAAGGTTTTGTAGAAGAGTTAACATCTAAGAAGATGGCAGACAGATATTACTATGAAGTGATTAAAAACACAGAGTTCTAAGTCCAGTAAACCAGGATTCATGTCTTAGCCCCTCCACTTGTTAGCTATTTGATCTTTGGCAAGTTACTTAAATTCTCTAAGCTTTAATCCTATCTTCTGTAACTCCTGCCCCTTAGGGTTATAGTTTTAAAGTTAGATCTTGTATGTATAATGCTTAGCACGAATGCTCAGTGAACTGAATTTTAAATGGTACAAAAAGGTAAAAAGAGAAATAATCTATTCCTGAGAATAATTAACTGTGATACATACACAGGAGTAAATACGTGCAGCCATTAAAAGTCATCTTTAGGGCTCAACAAAATAAACTGTAGAGAGAGATAAAATTAATATGGCAAATAAAAATAATTGACGATTGAAGAATATACAGGTGTTACCAAAGCATTTTTTTGCACTTTTCTGCAGGGCAGATATTCCTCAAAACAAAAAGTTGATTTTAAAAAAACCAAAAAAGTATGTTTAAAATGTTTCTAAGCCTTTGGACAAATATGTAATATTAAGTTAAAAAGGAGGTGATGGAAAATTATTTTTACACTATCATCTCAGTTCTTTAAGTAGGAGAGATGTATTAAAAGTCAATTTTTTCTCTGTGTAGTGGGAATGTTTGTAATTTTTAATCACTTTCATTATATTCCTGTGTATTTTCCAAATATTCAAAAGCAATATAAAACTTTTAAAATAAATAATTAAATACACCCCATTTTTGCATTAGTTTATAGCAATTATACCAGTAGATGGTATTTCTATTTATTGCTTTACTGTTTTGGTCCCCTTTAAAGGAATGTATTTATGCAAGTACCTCCACAGGTAGAAACTAGCATATTTTTTTCTCATTTTAAGTGAAGCAGAACTTAACAGGAAAAATCAAATCATATTCTTACTTCTGAAATTATGGTTTTAATAATCTATTATAACAAAACAACCAATATTTCTAGAAACTACATTTACTTTTAAAAATTAGCCTATACACAGCAAGGACAACTATGTGGCAATGGGATCAAAGAAGACAGAGTGGAGAAAAACTACAGGTACTGTTCAGCTGCCACACAGAGAAAGGGCCAGGCCTCCGTCACCTCCCTTTGTTCAGTACATGACAAAGTATCCTGCGTAATGAAGAGGTCGCCAATAAATGAAATTCCCAGCACACATGGCTCCATATTAGTAGTTAATGTTTCCTGATGTTTCATCTTGGTGAACCCTTACAACCATCCAATGAGATAGGAATCGTTATTACCATTTTCCACATGAGGAAACCAAAATCTTAGTTTAAATCACTTGCCCTCACAGCTACTAAGTGACCAGAAAATAAATCCAAGTCTGGTGGATCCCAATGCCCATGCTTTATCCTGGGGCTCAGCAAACTCTATAAATGACTACAGAGAAGACATTTTAGGTTTCATGGATCATATGGCCTCTGTTGCAACGACTCAACTCTGAGCTATAGTGCAAAAGCAGCCATAGACAGTAGGTAAACAAACAAGCGTGGTGGTGTTCCAATAAAAGTTTACTTAAAACAGCAGGGCCAAGGCAGTAGTTCATGCCTGTATCTGTATCTGAGAGGCTGAGGCAGGAGGCTCGCTTGAGCCCAGGAATTTGAGACCAGCCTGGGCAACATGGCGAGACCCTGATTCTACAAGAAAAAAAAAAAATAACAAATTAGGTTGACTCTGGGCACACTGCTTAGGAGTTAGCTTTGTTTTTCAAAGAGCTATTTTAAAAAATTAAAAATTAGCTGGGCATGGTGGCATGTGCCTGTGGTCCCAACTACTTGGGAAGCCGAGATGGGAGGATCACCTGAGCCCAGGAGTTGAAGACTGCAATGAACTATGATCACTCCACACTACTCTAGACTAGGTGACAGAGCAAGGCGAGACCCTGTCTCAAAAAAAAAAAAAAAAAAAAAAAACAGGTGGTGAGCTGGATTTGGGCCTTAGTTTGGCAATCCCTTTTCTAAGTTACTGTTCTACATTGTCTTCATAGAGTATCAGGTGTCTCCATTCAGCAAATATTTAATGAACACCTACCATGTGCCAGGAACTGTTCTACACACTGGGAATATAGCTGTGAACAAAATCAAAAATAACCCCTGACTTTCTGGAGCACAACTTTGAATACAAAAGACAGGTAACAGGTAAATAAAAAACTAGTTACCATTGTATACCACTGTCTACATCATATAGTGTCAGAAAATGATAAATGATATTAAGATGGAATGTTTGGCATAAATTGAACAAAACAGGTTGGTAAATGACATCACTCTTAATCATCACTCCATAGCTAAACATAACTGGGGTTCAATTCTTTATTAGCATGAAGTAGGCAGAACACACACAAGTATTTCAACACAATAAAACAGATTTCCACAAAATCATGCCTCTCCCCCAGCACATGTAAAATATGGGTCCCACCTTCCTGTCCTTTGTGTTCTTGATCTTCTATCCAGTTACCTTAATTGACACCCTGCAAATAACAGAGCCTGATGATATATAAGGGAAGTTTTCATTCTGGCAGTGGATCTTAAATTAGTGCATATGAGCCCAATCAGTTACTTGGGCCTGAGCCAGACCCACCCTAACTATTTGCAAATCTGTTAAAACAGTAGCTACAACTTATGGCTAAGCTGCTTCCTCCAACAAAAGACAGATGGCTTCAGCAAATTTTAACTTTCTGTGCTGATGAGCCTCCCTGCTCCAGAGCAGAGGGGAGGGTGATGAGCATGCAAATCCAGCCAAGGAGCTAGCAGTCCCAAAGATGTAGGGGCAAAATACAGGCTTGAAATCTCTGTTTGGGGCTACAATAAAAGGAAGATAAAGCAGATCACAAGCGTACCAGCTTTTCCTAAGAATAAATTATTTCAAATTTTAACATTTCTGAAATACAGTTAAGAATCCATGTATTAAATATATAACCCAAACCAAATGGCCAAAAAGCAGATAAAAATGACCAATATTATATGAAGATGTAAATTCACATTTTTTGATCAGAAGAAAAGGTAACAGCTAGCTGCTTGTGGCCTACTATGTGCCATATAATACATAAGTACTTTTGCCTATATTATTTAATATTAATCCCATTTTTTCAGATGAGGAAACAACTAAGATGTTAAGTCATTTGTCTAAGTTTCTATAGGTAGTTAAATGGATGCTAGAATTTGAATCAAGAATGCTGAGAAGGACAATCTACAAAATGGGAGAAAGTATTTGCAAACTATGTTTCTGACAAAGGTCCTAATATCCAGAATCTATAAGGGACTTAAATAACCCAACAAGTAAAAAACAAATCACCCCCATTTAAAAAATGGGCAAAAAAACATGAACAGATACTTTTCAAAAGAAGACATACAAGCAGCCAACAAACATGAAAAAATGTTCCCATTGCTAATCATCAGAGAAATGCAAATCAAAACCACAAAGAGCTACCATCTCACACAGTCAGAATGGCTATTATTAAAAAGTCAAAAAAGAACAGATGCTGACGAGGCTGTGGAGAAAAGAGAATGCTTATACGCTGTTGGTGGGAATGTAAATAAGTTGAGCCACTGTGGAAAGCAGTTTGGAGATTTCTCAAAGAACTTAAAACAGAACTACCATTCAACCTAGCAATCCCATTACTGGGTATATATATATATATATCCAAAAGAAAATAGATCATCCTACCAAAAACAGAAACACGCACTCATAGGTTTCATCCCAGCACGATTCAGAATAGTAAAAACATGGAATCAACCTCAGTGCCCATCAACAGTGAACTGGATAAAGAAAATGTGGTACACATACATCATGAAATACTATGCAGCTATAAAAAAATGAAATCATGTCCTCTGCAGCTACATAGATGCAGCCAGAGGCCATATCTTAGCACCCAGGAACAGAAAGCCAAACACTGTGTATTCTCACTTACAAGTGAGAGCTGAACACTGGGTACTCATGGACATAAAGATGGATGGCAAAAACAGAAACTGGGGACAACTGTGGTGGGGGGACAAGGGTTGCAAAATTATTGGGTGCCATATTCAGTATTTGGGTGAAAGTATCAATTGTACTACAAACCTCAGCATAACACTATATACCCAGGCAACAAACCTGAACATATAGCTTCTGAATCTAAAATCAAAGTTGATTTTTTTTTTTTTTTTTAAAGAATGCTAGCCAGGCACAATGGCTCACTCCTGCAATCCCAACATTTTGGGAGGCCAAGGTGGGCAGATCATCTGAGGTTAGGAGTTTGAGACCAGCCTGGCCATTGTGGTGAAACTCCATCTCTACTAAAAATACAAAAAAAAAAAATTATCTGGGTGTGGTGGCCAGTGCCTGTAATCCCAGCTACTCAGGAAGCTGAAGCAGGAGAATCGCTTGAACCCAGGAGGTGAAGGTTGCAGTGAGCTGAGCTCATGCCACTGCACTCCAGCCTGGGCAACAAGAGCAACACTCTGTCTCAAAAAATAAAATAAAAATAAAATAAAAATAAAAAATAAAGAACTCTGAGAGGGAAGGTAAAACACAAACAAACAGAAAAACACTTGCCTTTGATTTCTGGAATCTTAGAACTGAACTAGACAAGAAGAGATCATCTCTAATTTGTGTTTTTATTTTAAGGAAATGAAAACAGGCTATTTGCCCAAGGCCACACAAGAATCATTTCAGAATTGGGTTGTACTTGGATTCCTCTGCTATAGAAGTTGGCCTCACAGTCCTGATTTCTTCCTTCCTCTGACAAGTGTTGATTTTTAATTAAGGAGATTCCCAATAATAAGTTACTCTCCCAGGTCTGTATCATGATAGCAGGTTGCACAGAGGATGCTGGTGACAGGAACTTCAGCTGTTATGGTAAAGCCAGGCAGGTGGGTTTGGGGATGGTACAGACCTACTAACCTTAATTCACACCATGTTGAAAACCAGACTTCTGAATAAGCCACCCATTTCCATCAAATAATCTAACTGCTGCAATATTTCAACTGAGGGTACAAAGCATACTGTAGGAACAAACTAGTAGTTCTATATCCTGGCTTCTTTTTTTTTTCTAAAACAGCAGCATGATAAAATCAATAATGGAAAGTTTTCCCTGCCTCTCTTTTTTATTTTCTTTTCTGTCTACAGCTATACAGCTATTTTAATTACAAAAATAATCTGGTTTTCTCCCGAGGAAAGGAATTCCATGAGTTCTGAGAGGACCAGGAATTCAATTTTACTCACACTCCTTTCAGGTGGCAAATACAGACTCAAAAGTATTGTTTCTGGATTTGATTATAACCATCATGGGCCTCTGAGATGATCTTTACTTGCAGAATAGCTGAGAAGCTTGAAATGGACAACACAAGATACGTATCCACAGCAGACACTGTAGAATGTGGTAATCTCCAAACATAAATAACCGTTCTTTTACCATAAACTATACATCAAGATTTTAAGTGACTCTCTCACTTATTTTTAATTAAGGATATGGTTAGCTCTTCAAACTACTGATAATATAAGGCTGTTCCCGTAAGAATAAATTGAGAATAGTACTAGCTTAGTAGGGGATGCAAGAGTAGAAGGGGTGGTGTATTGGTCAGCTCAGACTGCCATAAGAAATGATCACAGACTGAGTGACTTAAACCACAGAAATGTGTGATCTCACAGTCTGGAGGCTGGAAGGCCAAGATTAAGGTGTCAGCAGGCTTCGTTTCTCCTGAGGTCTCTCTCCATGGTGTGTAGATGGCAGCCTTCTGGCTGTATCCTCACATGGTCTTTTCTCTGAGCACAGTCAACCCTGGTGTCTTCTCCTCTTCTTATGAGGACACCAGCCATACTGGATTAAGGCCCCACACTATTACCTCATTTAACCTGAATTACCCCTTTAAAGGCCCCATCTCTAAATACAGCCACATTGAGGGTTAGAGCTATGCAACTCAGTCCATAACAGGTAGAATGGAGACACGGTTTGTATTCAGAACGCTGTATCTGCCAGCAGACACATGTCCACCAAAGCCATGTGTGTGGAGCCCCAAGGAACCCGGAAATCATCCCTCATTAGAAGAATTTGAATTCTACTTTATGGGAAATTCATTTCATTACCCCTTAAGGCATTTCTTCATTTTTTTTTTTTTTAAAGCATTGTTGGGGCCTGGCGCAGTGGCTCACGCCTGTAATCCCAACACCTTTGGAGGCTGAGGCAGGCGGATCATCTGAGGTCAGGAGTTTGAGACCAGCCTGGCCAACATGGTAAAACCCCATCTCTACAAAAAATACAAAAAATTAGCCAGGCGTCGTGGTGTGTGCCTGTAATCCCAGCTACTCAGGAGGTTGAAGCAGGAGAATCCCTTGAACCTGGGAGGTGGAGGTTCCAGTGAGCTGCGATCACACCATTGCACTCAAGCCTGGGCAACGAGAGCAAAACTCCGTCTCAAAAAAAAAAAAAAAAAGAATTGTTGTGATTTCACGTGGCTCTGGAGGAGCCAAGCAGAAGCAGAGTGAGATGTGCAGTCTTCCTCACAGTCGTAAGAATTAGCCCATAGCGCCTAAGTTCTTTCAGCAGACAAGCACACGCTTCACATCAGAGAAGACTCTGTGCATGGTTTTCCCTATGCCGTCAATATGCTGGGTAAATCAGATATCATCTGCGTTTCTTCACTGACATTCCTTTGTCTTTATTGTTTTTTTCCAACTTTATTGTTGCTGGTTTTGTTTTGCTTTCCTTACACTGAAGTTTGAATTATGTACATATTCGGTATGATATATTCTGTAAGGGAATCTGGAGTTTATACTATGTGATAGTTAAGAACAAGCTTTGGTAGAACAGGTTAACAACCAAACTGAAGAACAAGTGAAGAAGGGAATACATTTAGGTGAGCATATGACATGTTAATTAATTACTGACTTCATTTTAGGGAGATTTAGTATAATTTTAATACAAATTAGGTTTAATATAGGAGCTCAAGAATGCACTTTTTTCCTATTAAATTAATAATAGTTTTTTGACCCATGGAAATTTGCCCTATGAGTGTGCTTTAAGAAGTAAATTTTCCCCCAGTGCAGCAGCTCACGCCTGTAATCCCAGCACTTTGGGAGGCCGAGGCAGGTGGATCACCTGAGGTCAGGAGTTCGAGACCAGCCTCACCAAATGGTGAAACCCTGTCTGTACTAAAAATACAAAATTAGCCGGGCATGGTGGCGCATGCCTGTAATCCCAGCTACTCTGGAGGCTGAGACAGGAGAATCGCTTGAACTCAGGAGGCGGGGGTTGCAGTGAGCCAAGATCACGCCACTGCAGTCCAGCCTGGGCAACAAGAGTGAAACTCTGTCTCAAAAAAAAAAAAAAAAAAAAAAAAAGAAGAAGAAGAAGTAAATTATCCTCACGTGGCAAGGAAGAGAGCACAAGGCAAAGAAAAAGTACAATTTATTATTAGCTGGTATTTGGGACTCAAGTTCTGATTTTTTAAATTGGTGAGCTGGGCTTAGATCATAAATGAACTAGAAGATTTGCTTCTGTTTCTCCAGAGACTTAGAATGAAAGGCACTGGTTGGCCTTCTTAGTTGTGTTTTGTTTCTTTTTTTTTCCCTCTAAGCTGATATCTGATTCTCAGTCCTTAAGATGTTACTATTCTAATGGTACAAAAGAACAGGGAGAGATAAACCCAACCCAAGAGGTCATCAAGGAAGAGACCATTTCTCCATGTGGCCAGGACCATCTTAAGCCATTCACTGCAGGACTCTTCTGTTCCCAGAGGTCACAGACTTATCCCAAAGATGCAGGCAGGAAGAGACACTGAGGGAGCGTACATGCCCCCACTCCCACCACCTTATCAAAACTGCAGAATGGGCGAGAGACACTGAGGGAGCGTACATGCCCCCACTCCCACCACCTTATCAAAACTGCAGAATGGGTGAGAGACCTTAACAAATCTCCAAAATTACCCCCAAAAGAGGCATTGCAAAATAAGTCTCCAAAAAAATAATACCTCCAAAAGGGGCATTGCATCAACTCTAGTTCAGAAATCTTTTGAAAGAAATTCTCTTGTGTAGGCTTATGTTAGAAGATGGAAGGGAGACTTCCCTTTGGAAATAGGCTTCCAGAGAAGGCGGCAATGGGAAGCACCAAAGGACTATGTAGGATATGAGGCAATCAAACACTAGGGAGTTGGAGAAGATAAAGAAATACAGAGAAGCCATTCATTCAAAGCCGTTCATTTTGCTTGGGGAGTTCCCCTACACATACAAAGCACCCTGCTCATAAAAGAGAGGATACTACTATGACCTGTACCTGAGCCATTTTTTTTTCTGTGCTAAAATGAAAAAATTGTCTCATTTCATCCACTTGTGCTTGAGATCACACCCCCCTTCACCTTATCAGGAACATGAGTAATTATCTCCTCTCATACTTATACCTTTATCATCAATTTCTCCTCTTCTTACTAGATCAGTCCCAAAAGCTCTACAGACACAATCCTGTTTCTTCTTTAGGAATTTCAGAACAGGTGTGGTGGCTCACGCCTGTAATCCCAGCACTTTGGGAGGCCACAGCAGGCAGATCACCTTAGGTCAGGAGCTCAAGACCAGCCACCAGCCTGGCTAACATGGTGAAACCCCGTCTCTATTAAAAATACAAAAATTAGCCAGGCATGGTGGCATGTGCCTGGAATCCAAGTTACTTGGGAGGTTGAGGGAGGAGAATTGCTTGAACCCGGGAGGTAGAGGTTGCAGTGAGCTGAGATCGTGCCACTGCACTCCAGCCTGGGTGACAGAGTAAGACTCTGTCTCAAAAGAAGAATTTCAAAATACACAGAAGTGGACCGTGGATTACTGATAAACTTTTGTTTGTGACACACTCTCATCATCACCTGTTTTTATTTATTTAGTTGGTTCTTTTAAAAATACTCTTAAGTATCTACCAACCTATTGCTCAACAGGGCTGAGTTCCTTCTGGAGGCCCTGCAGTGAACCCACTTCCTGACTTTCCTGTCATTTCTAGAGGTCTCTGGCTTTCCCTGACTCCCAGATCGATCTCTCTCTTTCTCTCTCTCTCTCTCAAACACACACACACGCACACACACACACACACACACACACACACACACACAGAAACACACACTCCTACTTCCTTCTTATAAGGATCCTTGTGATGACATTGGCTTCCCAGATAATCCAGGTTAATTAATCTCCTCATTTCAAGATCACTATCTTAATCACATCAACAAAATCTCTTTTGCTATGTAAAGTAACATATTCACAGATTTCCAAGAGTAGGCCATCAATCAACATCTTTGGAGGACATTATTCGGCCTACCATAGTTATCTTTTGGGACTTCTTTCCCTTAAATATCCATGTTGTCATTTATTACCGTAGTTTCCAGTTAATTCATCCATCCTGTGTGCTTTCAGTTGTATCCTGGCTTTGGCAATTGTGAATAGTGCTCCTACAACCATTCTTGTACATATCTCCTGCTGTTGAGACACACTAGTGTAGCTAAAAAACTGGAGTAGAATTTCTGGGTCATGGGTATGTGAATATTCCATTTTCAGAGATCCTGTCACACAGTTTTCCAAAGTGGAGAGACCAATTTGAGCTCCTAAGAGCAACGTAAAAGAGGTTCTATGGGTGTACTGCTCTCCAATGCTGAGTATTGTCAGGTCTTTACAAATGTTTGCCAACAGAATGGATGTAAAATAGCATTTAATTATGAATTTGCATTTCCCTGATCAATAATACTGAACATCTCTTCACACGTTTATTGTCCCTCTGAGTTGTTGCTTCTATGAAATACCTGTTCATACCTTTTCATCATTTTGCTTGATTTCAGAAATTATATTTTCTTAGCACTAACATTTTTTTCAGTTGTACACATTGTGAATAGCTTCTCCCCATTAATACCTGACTGTTTTTCTGCTTCCTTTAAGGAAGCAGAACATTCATTTTTTTAAATGAATGTTCTTAAATTTGTCTATATACTCCACCAGTGGTTTCAAAGTTTTGCTGTTGACATTTAAGACCATTTGGAGTTCGTTATCATATAGGGTGTGAAGAAGTGACCATCTCATATTTTCACTACAGATCCCCATTTGTCACAGGCCTCTTTTCTCCAACATACTGACACACTACCTCATCATGTTCTATGGCATCTGTTTCTATATCAGTTCTATGTTTCTGGCATCTCTACTTTATGCCATTTGTCAATTTGTCTATCCCTACAACAATACCACTCTATTTTAATGACTATAGCTTCACAATAAATCCTGCTATCTGGTAGGACATGCATCCCCTCACTGCTTTTAGACAGAAGATATTTTAGCCCTTTACAATTCCATATACATTTTAGAGTCATCACATCGACTTCCATAAAAACACTTGTTGGGATTTTTATTTGAAAAGTCTGATCGACGGATTGAAGCTATAGATCACTTTTGGAAGAATTAATATCTTCAGGCTTTTGTCTTCTCCATGAACATAACACACCTCTCATTTATTTGGTAATAAGTCTTTTAATAAAGTCAACCATCTCTCAATAAGTTTTAATAATTTTCTCAGTAAAGGTATTATATACCTTCTGTTAGAGAGATACCTAGCTACTGCTAGTCTCTGATGCTACTGTAAATGGTATCTTTAATTTACTTTTCTTAACTGCTGCTAGAATAGAAATTCTACCTTGTGAAACACTCCAATTGTTCCTAGTAATGTGTATAGATTCTTTAGGGTTTTCTCTGTAAATACTTATATTGTCTTCGAATGATGATAAATTCGTCCCTTTTACTCCAATTCTTATCATCTCCAATTTCTTTTTCTTGTCATATTACAAGTTTGAAAAACAATTTAGAAAAAATCTTTTAGCACAGCAATAAGTTGTGGTTGCTAAAGTACTGAAAGGTTTTATAAGTGCTCTGTAATTACATTTCTCATATAACTACCCTGTCTCTGTGTCTGTGTCATGCTTGATATGGCATGTTTTGCCATCTTCATAATTCCTTCTTATTGTTACATTGGCTAGTAATGAAAATAATTATGTGGTAAGATGGATGGAAATTTATATAGGTACGCCGGGGGTGGGGGGAAAGAAGAGAGATCTCAGGCCTCTATTACCCTTGTTCTTGTCCCCCAACTAATGTGATGAGGATCACCTCCACTAGGCTCTTGAGGAATGTGTACATAAAGGGATGCTCCATATAAAAATCATGGCTTTAATATAAAAAGCCTTGGTCCCAAAACATGATGTGGAATAATCTCTGGTTTTGGTAAAATGCAGTAGACCATAGATGTGTCAGGAGAGCTCCTCCTAGGTTCTTGGTATGGAGGAGTATCACAGCTTGATTAGCTACTATACCTCTGTGGGTAAAAGCTGAAGTGTCAACTAAGTTATTAGGCAGCATGGCTTATAATAAAAATGGCTTCTGATGAGGTAACCGCGTATGAACTCAGAGAATTATACGTACATCTAAAAACACTCCTGTTGGAAGAGGAATCCTTGGGACTGCCCTGCTGGCAAGCCATGATTCCTGTTCTCTCTCTAAACAGACTGGTGTCATGGGTGGTCTTTGATAGTCTTGTGAGTCTGAAGGTTCGGTTGAACCTAAGAAAGCCCCTTGATCAACATACCGGTTTTCTATTGCTATGGAACACACTACCACAAACTTAGCCATTTAAAGCAATACTCATTTCTTATCTCATAGTTCTGTAGGTCAGAGGTCCAGCATGGTAGGGCTGGGTTCTCTGCTCAGGGTTTCACAAGGATATAATCAAGATGGTAACGTGGGCTACATTCTCATCTGAGGGTTGGAGTCATCTTCCAAGCTCCCTGGTTATTGATGGAATTTGGTTCCTTGGGCTGTAGAACTGAGATTTCTCGGTTTTTGTTTGTTTTTTTGCCAGCTATGAACTTGGGGCTGTTCTCAGTTCTCAGAAGCAGCCTGCAGGTTACCATCATGTTGCTCTCTCCATACCACAGCAGTCTGCTTCTTCAAGTCCAGCAGGAAAATTTATCTCATATTTTGTATCTCTCTGACTTCAGGAAGGACCCAATCCCTAAGGGCTCATCTGGTTGGGTCAGGCCCACCTGTATAATCTCTATTTGACTAACTCAAAGTAAACTGATTTAGTGACCTAATCATGAGTGATATCCCATCATATTCACAAGTTCTGCTGACACTCAAGAGGAGAGGGTTATATAAAATGGTGTGAACACCACAGAGAAAGATTCCTAGAAGCAATCTTGGGATTCTGTCCATAAGAGTGAACACTGCAACCTCTTTCCCTGGGCTTCCCCAATCCTGATTTTGAATGGTTATCAGTCCAATGGTGAGAAGAGACAAGAATTCATGGAAAAACTTAAGCTCATCTAAAAACTGCTTCCACACATGCCCCTCACTATTCCTTTGTGACATTACAGTCCAAGGGGTCTTTTAAAAGTGATGATTGAAGGAATCCTTTTGCCTTCCCCAAAGATACTCTGAAGAGATTTTTAAAAAGCCAAAGAGAAGGGAGAATCCTAACAGAGGATCTGCCACATAGACAATGCGGCCTTTAAACCCTGAAATTCTAGTGGAATTTCACTCTAGTTCAACAATGCTCTTGATCTTGACCATGTAAGCGTGGTTTTGAGGAGGAGTTGAGGGAATGAGAGCCTTGCTCCTTCTACCAGAGACCAGTGTTTCTGTCATTTGGTTTTTATCCAGTTAACAGATGAGTTTCCTGAGGGCTGCTGCAGTCCCTATTTGAGGAAGAGGTCTGCAGCCCCTTAGAAGAGACCTAACAGCATCTTTTTATTTTCATTTTTTTTCAGACGGAGTCTCACTCCTCTGTCACCAGGCTGGAGTGAGGTGGCGTGATCTCAGCTCACTGCAACCTCCACCTCCCAGGTTCAAGCAATTCTCCTGCCTCAGCCTCCCGAGTAGCTGGAACTACAAGTGCCCGCCACCACGCTGGGCTAATTTTTTGTATTTTTAGTAGAGACAGGGTTTCACCGTGTTAGCCAGGATGGTCTTGATCTCCTGATCTTGTGATCCGCCATCTAGTTCTGGAAGAGGATAGGGTTGTTCCTAGCAGTACCTTTATAGAACAACCCTATCCTCTTCCAGAACTGGGATAGCCATAGCTCCCCCCTGGATTTAACTGGATGGCCATATCAGTCTTTCAAAGATGTTTGTGATTTTCTTTTTGACGGTATATAGAAACAACTTATACTGGTCAGCAAATCATTTCAGTTGTATAAACTATGCAATAGATAGAAAGGTCAAAATATACTTGGCCATGTTGTCTACTAAGCTGACCAGACAGGGATCTACAGCATGTGTCTGTGTGTATGTGTGCGCATACACACATATACATATGTATGCGTGTGTGTGTGTGTGTGTGTGTGTGTATGTGTATATCTCCATAGATAATAATTTCTACATTTATCCATCTTACCACATACTTTAATAGTCAGTGTATAAATGACTGAGCTTTCTCTGTAGCAATAAGAAGAGATTATGAAGATAGTTAAAAATGGCAAATCGAACATGATACAGACATAAAGACAGGCTAGGTGTAAGAAAAATTTAAAATAGACCACTTATAAATCCATTTTAGTACTTTAGCAACCATAGTATGTTTCTGTGCTAGAAAACCCTAAATAAATAGTTTTTCAAACTGGATCCTTTGAGCTCTAGCTACCTCAATGCTAGCTCCCAGTAGTGACAGGTAAATTAAGGAGCTTTTTTGGGAAGCTATATAAAGTCAATTTGGGAGAGGAGGGATGGGGAAGAGATATTCCAGTACCAAAAAGCATTCAAAAATCATAGGCATGGATAAACTCTGAAAGCCTTTCTATAGTAGAAAATTTAGATTCATGACTGACCCCTACAAAGTTACTACTTAATGATTATTGCTACATAAAGCTTATAACCTGCCTTGAAGACCAAAACGCAGGTCCTCCCAAAACCTCTAATAAAAGCCCAGCAACCTCAACCACAAAATTTCAGACAATTCATCAAAATCCTGTGTTAACTCTATGATAGAGATACCAATACAAAGTTCAAGTCAGTTTTTAAATTTTAAAAATTCTATGAAATACAAAGTCAAAAGCCAAAATTGTTCAAAACCATGTGCCACGGTGACACACTTCAGAGTCTATCTCATTATTGCAATGGTGATTGGTCTATGTGACTGTGTGGTACCATGAACATTTGTTACGTGCTTAAATAGTACGGATGAGCATTCTGCAAATCTGTGTGTATCATGTGAACCACGTACCATACAAACAGAACTCACACATGCATTTAAATTTTTTTTAACATCCAAAGAAAGGAAGCACAGCAGTCAAGTATTTTTTAAAAAGCCAATTAAAAAAATGAAACCTAAGTCACATCCATAGTAGCAGCCAGTGTAGACAGATAGATAACACCAATAAAAAGCCTTCCTCCTACCTTCCCACTAATACTTTGACATCCCTAAAACCAATATCAGAGAAAGGGAGACAGGTAGGGGAGGGTTAGAGCACTAATTTCACCACCCGGAGATAAGTGTTCAAAATAGATATTAAGGGTATAAAAATAGTTAGAAAAAATGAATAAGACCTAATATTTGATAGCACAACAGGGTGACTATGGTCAGTAGTAATTCAATCATACATTTTAAAATAACTAGAAGTATAATTGGATTGTTTGTAACACAAAGGATTAATGCTTGAGGGGATGGATACCCCATTTTCCATGATGCAATTACTACCCATTGCATGCCTGTATCAAAACTTCTCATGTACCTCATACATATTAGACTTACCATGTATCTCCAAAAAGTAAAAATTAAAAATTTTAAACATAGATATTGAGTTACACAAATGTAAAATTCCTATTATCTTTGCAAATCTGTGTTAGGGAAATGATGTTCATACCTGCTCAAAAGCTAGCTAAATGAATGAATATAAAACTTCATACAAGCAACAAACTGGCTAACATTTTGAAGATCAGTGACAAATTTATATAGACTATTAGAAATAGGCCTGGTGCAGTGGCTCACGCCTATATTCCCAGCACTTTGGGAGGCCGAGGCGGGTGGATCACCTGAGGTCAGGAGTTCGAGACCAGCCTCACCAACATGATAAAACCCCGTCTCTACTAAAAATACAAAAATTAGCGAGGCGTGTTGGCACACCCCTGTAATCCCAGCTACTTGGGAGGCTGAGGCAGGAGAATTGCTTGAACCTGGGAGGCGGAGGTTGCAGTGAGTCAAGATCGCGCCATTGCACTCCAGCCTGGGCAACAAGAGTGAAACTCTGTCTTAAAAAAAAAAAAAAAAGAAAAGAAAAGAAAAAGAAATACTGGTTGAGGTAGGTATGTATCTTAAAATCCAAGACTATATATATGCAAATATATATACATTTTTATATGCAAATCCATATGCAAACATATAACAGGATATATTCAAAAGCCATTTTGAAAAGAAGTGTTGGCTTATCTTTGAAATAAGGTTATTATTATTATTTTGAGACAAGGTCTCACTCTGTCACCCAGGCTGGAGTACAGTGGCACAATCACAGCTCACTGCAGTCTCGACCTCCCTGGACTCGAGTGATCCTCCCACCTCAGCCACCTGAGCAGCTGGAGCTACAGGAACATGCCACCACAACTGGCTAATTTTTTTAATTTTTGTAGAAACAGAGTCTTGCTATGTTGCCCAGGCTGGTCGCAAACTCCTGGGCTCAGCTATCCTCCGCCTTAGCTTCCCAAAGTGCTGGGATTACAGGCATGAATCACCATGCCTGGCTGAAATAAGATAATTATATAATTTGTATCAGATACTGTCTTGTTTATATGCTCTAGAGTAACACTATCCAATAGAACTTTCTGTGATGAGAGAAATATTCGCTACCTGCACTGTCCAGCAGGGGCATCCCTAACCACCTGAGGGAATTGAGCCCTTTAAATGGTGGCCAATGTGACTAAGAAACTCAATTCTTAACTTTTTAAAATTTAGGCCGGGCATGGTGGCTCAGGCCTGTAATCTCAGCACTTTGGAGGACTGAGGTGGGTGGATCACCTGAGGTCAGCAATTCGAGACCAGCCTGGCCAACAAGGTGAAACCCCGTCTCTACTAAAAATACAAAAATTAGCTGGGCATGGTGGTAAGCACCTGTAATCCCAGCTACTTGGGAAGCTGAGGCAGGAGAATCACTTGAATCCAGGAGGCAGAGGTTGTAGTGAGCTGAGATTGCGCCACTGAACTCCAGCCCGGGCGACAAGAGCAAAACTCTGACTCAAAAAAAAAAAAAAAAATTCAAACTAACTTAAATATAAACAGCCCTGTGTGGCCAAGGCCACCAAATTGGGAGTGCATGTCTGAAGAGTAAATGTCTTCCTTGCTTCACCAACACCTTCCATCTTTTTTTTTTTTTTTGAGATGCAGTCTTGCACTGTTGCCCAGGCTGGAGTGCCATGGCGTGATCTCTGCTCACTGCAACCTCTGCCTCCTGGGTTCGAGCAATTCTCCTGCCTCAGCCTCTCAAATAGCTGGGATTACAGGTGCATGCCACCATGCCCAGCTAATTTTTTGTATTTTTTAGTAGACATGGGGTTTCACTATGTTGGTCAGGCTGGTCTCGAACTCCTGACCTTGTGATCCATCCACCTCGGCCTCCCAAAGTGCTGGGATTACAGGCTTGAGCCACTGAACCCGGCCCACCCTCCATCTTTACAACTCTGCTCAAAGGCCATCTCGGGGCCCCACAGGCAGCAGCACGTGCTCCCTGCATGGTGCTTCCACAGAGCTTTCTGCATTTTTCTGTCTTAGAACTTAGCCACTAAACAGAAACTGTACAAGTGTCAACCTCCCCTGGCAGGTAATCTGTAATCTATACAAAGATAGGACAGTGTTTCATTCATCTTTGTCACCTCAGCATCCAGCAAAGTACCTGATCCATTGTGGGTCCTCATTTCACTTTTATGAGATGAATAAACAGAAAGAGGCTCTAGGCAGCTGATGAAGCAGGGAAGTTCTAAATGAAAATTTAACAATGATGGAAACCTATTCTTTTATCTGCTATTTATTTTCTTATTCATACTCATAAAAGCCATTTCAGCCTTCTAGAAATCCTAGCTAAGTCGTATAGATAGCATTTCTAATAATGTTATTTCAAGGGCATCTGATCAAGTCAGTCACAAGGCACCCTCACGATTTACAGCTGCAACTCATCTGCTCACTCACCCTGAAACAGAAACGCCCGGTTAGGAAGCCTCAGGATGAAAGCTTCCTTGTGCTGCAAACTTAAAAAAAACACAAAACATAGTAGACTTACCATCGCCAACATCAAAGTCCTTGAAAGCCAGTTCTGAGCCTGAATCATCAAGAAGGATTTCACCATTCAGTGTGAACATCATGGTGTGTTCGTTCATGTCAACCATACACCCCACGACATCGCCTGCTTGCCAAGAGCGCCCATAGTGTTCATTGCCCTGATGCCACCGCTGGGCCTATACAGAGGACAGAAAAGTCCCTTGTCACAGACTAAGCCAGGAAAATCGCACCCACCCACCACTCTGTCACGACCTAACAGCAGTCCCTTCTATCAACACAACAGTAGGAGAAACTCCAGCTGGCATATCGGTCTACTGCAATGTCCTAAGCAAAATGGAGCTGTCTGGGAATTCTAAATCCCTACCTAATATTAACATGGTATATTATCGAATCTTGGGAAAAAAATCCAAAATCTATGTCATGATTTTGAGAGCTTATTATTTTAAAAATCGAACCTCACATACTTTCTACTGAAAGAAAACTTATATGCCTTTAGAATATATCATTTTTCTGCGACAATGAATGTTTCCCAGAATACGGTTTGTTTTTCTCTACTCCCACAAATACAAATAATTATGAGCTAGGGAATCAAGCTGGGCATCTGTCATTGAAAATGATAGTGTAATTTTCATCTATTTCAAAATGAAATTTCATTCCTTAGAACCGATGGCACAGATACTTTAACAAAATGGAAATCTAGAAGCATTTCAGTTACATACTAAAAGTAAAAAAGCTTCAAATCAAACCTAAAAATATCCTTAGGATATCTGCTGAAGTAACAAGCCAAAAATTGAATATAGATGCCAACCTTTTTATATATATACATAAAGTGAAATCTCATATTGTAAGTACATTTGAAACATAGTTTTGATAAACGTGACTTTTGCATCTACAAGTATATTCCGTTGATTCATAAGCACACCTGAGTTATGTGAATTTTTTTTTCAGATAAATCTTTTGACTTTTTCTTAAACCTCACCTTCATTGTGAATCGGTACGTTACCAGACAGAGTCGCCAATGCAAAGCAATGACATAATTCTTCTTAATATAACACACTGTCTTTTTAAAAAAGTTTACATCAGGTATCAAAAGGCATAAAATGCCCAACCGACTTACCTGGCTGTGGTGTTCTCCTTCCTACCCCACCCACCCCATGCCTGTTCCCAAATCGGGAGTATCCTTTCTTGCCTATCATTTGACTGGGAGTAAAGGTTATTTTAACTTCCTCAGGTTACTTCCCACTCTGGTTCATTACATCTGATCTTCAGGAGGTATAAACCTAAAGCTGCCTTTTATCTGTTATTTTATTTTTTGAAGTTTAAAGTTTGCTAATTTTGACCGCCCCCCAACCCCCCAAAAAAGTGTTAAATTTTTCTATTTGAAATTTTTAAAAAACTGGATTCAGGAAATGTGATGTTTCAAAACTAAGTGGGTCAACTGCCCTAATTTCAAGCCTAGAAATGCTTTCCTACACAGGACATTTCACTCCAAGAAATATCCAAACGTCAAATCTCTTCATGATTGCTTATTTATTCTAATTTTATTTTTCTTGGTTAAAAAGTAGCTTTTTCCCCCTCATGTGAAAAGGAAAATAAATTCACTTAAAAAATAAAAAAAAAAGAAGACTTTAAAAAAATCTATGATTTTACCAATCAAAAGTGACTATTATTATCCTATTGTGGCTATAAGCATATATACCTTGTTGTTATTATTATTTTTTTGTTTGTTTTGAGACAAGGTCTCACTCTGTTGCCCAGGCTGGAGTGCAGTGGTGTGATCATGGCTCATTGCAGCCTCGACCTCCCGAGCTCAAGCAATCCTCTCACCTCAGCCTCGTATGTAGCTGGGACCACAAGTGCACACCACCATGCTTGGCTAATTTTAATTTTTTTTTTTTTTTTTTTGTAGAGACAGGATCTTACTTTGTTGCCCAGGCTGGTCTTGCACTCCTAGCCCCAAGTGATCCCTCCATCTCAGCCTCTCAAAGTGCTGGGATTACAGGCACCTCGCCCATATTACTGATCAAAATATTTTACACATGTAAAAGAATCTTTAAACATTTATTAGTATATAAATAACAAAATAAACACCTGACCAGCTTCCATCCAACTTAATAGAAATTACCAATAATGTTGAAAATGAAAACCGTTTGTGATTATAAACAACACTACATTAAGCATTGTAGCTATTAAATGTTCATACAAACCACTAATTATAGCTTAAAGATAAACTCCTGATACGGAATCGCTGCGTCAATGTATATGCATTTTTCCTCTACATATGTATCTTTAACATTTTGATAGACAAAGATGATTTATCTTTTTGATAACCATGGAAAAGCAATGTCTTACTTGGTGAATTTCACTGCATTCATGGGTTGTAGGGAAGGGTTTTGAGACTACGAGGACAAAAGCTTTCCTGTGAAATATTTTTCCACGTTTGTGCTGTGGGAAACACTGGTACTGTGAAGCTACCAAGAGGAACAGCAGAGGAGATGAGCCTCCAGCACGTACAGATGACTGGCACAGGACAAAGTCCACTCACCTTGAAGCCATCAAAGGCAAAGGCACGTTCATCTGAGCCAAGCTCCTGATCCGGTTGACAACCAGGACGACTCCAACCAACCCTCATGTCTCCAGCAGTGACCGTCTCAAATTCAAAATACCACCGTCCGGCCTTCACTGCATAGGTCTTCTCGGCACGGAAGATTCGGAACCTTTCCCCGGTGCCGCTGCACACTTCGGCTCTGGCTGCTGGGAAATGGACAGAGATTTCTGGTGGTCATTGGATGGGGAGGTGAAAGAGAAGGAAAGATATCATAAATAAAAGAAGGAAAGATAAATCACGACTTTAGTAATTCAACCTAGAGCGATGATGATAATGATACCTTCTTATCTTCTTTCCCATTTTACCAAGTGCTTTCTGATCTAGGATCAGCCACTGTCAGACCAGCTGGGTGAAGTGGAAAGCACCAGGGCTTGCGCTGGAGAGACTGGGGAATGAGTCTCCGTCAGCCTCATTTTCAGGAGGGAACGACCTTTCTGTAGAACAAAACCCAAGTGCCTTGGTGCTTTGGTTGTGGAGGATGAGATGGAAAGAAGTCAATAAGAAAAAAGATCCGAACTGCTCTGCATAAGAAATGAGTAGACATGTACGGGTGAGAGAGAAGAGGGAAGACGAAGCAAGGAAGAGAAGAGAAACAGAAATAAGGGAAAGTTGTAAACAGTGGAGAAAAGTAACAATAGCATCAATAGTAAAAATTTCCCTACAGGATGGTGATGGCTAAGGAACTCAAATGTGATGCAAAATTTTTCCATTCTCGCATACATCTTCACTGTGATCTGCTATACATACAAATGCTGTATTTAAAAGATCTGGGGGAAAAATAAAAAGGTCAGCATCCAACATTAGGACCAGTGTGATGCAAAAGGGGGAAAAGTATCCCTAGGAAATGAGATGCAGGTGAGATTGAGAGAGACGAGAGGGGGAAGTCTCAGAATGAGGAACCCAGAGCCAGAACGACGATGAGAAGGTAAGTCCTTCTGAAACCACAGAGGAGAGGAATGAGTGTTCATTGAATTGATATCTCAAAGAAGGTGGTCACCCAGCTAACATCTGAGTTAGATGCAGAGGAGGAAATTTCAGACTTGACCAACATCGCACAACTAAAAATGGTGGAACTTGGGAGCTGCTTCATGTTATAGCCCCTCTTCTTCCTACTTTGCCTCCAATAGCTCGCACAGAGTTACTAGTTACTGGTTAAATGCTAGTTTTCAGCCAGGTGTGGTGGCTCACAGCTGTAGTCTCAACACTTTGGAAGGCCAAGGCGGGAGGATCGCGCCCGGGCAACATAGTGGTACCCTGTCTCTACAAAGAGTTTAAAAATTCAGCCAGACATGGTAGTGCATGCCTGTAAGTCCAAGCTTCTCAAGAGGCTGATACAGAAGGATCACTTGAGCCTAGAAGGTCGAGGTTGCAGTGAGCTATGGTCGTTCTACTGCATTCCAGCCTGGGTGATAGAGTGAGATCCTGTCTCAAAACAAAACAAACAAACAAAGAGAAAGAAAGAGAGAGAGAGAAAGAAAGAAAGACAAAAGAAAGAAAGAAAGAAAGAAAGAAAGAAAGAAAGAAAGAAAGAAAGAAAGAAAGAAAGAAAGAAAGAGAAAGAAAGAAAGAAAAAGAAAGAAAGAAAGAAAGAAAGAAAAAGAAAGAAAGAAAAGAAAAGAGAAGAAGGAAGTTCCTATTTGTTTCTCCTTAAGATTTGGGAAAGACTTTATGCATAATAAAAATTTAATAACAGTTCAATCAATGACTTGGTATGATCAAATTAGAACTATAAAAATAATCTATATAAGCACTAAAGGTTGCCAATAAACATACAGCTAGGTCATATGTAACAATTTAAAATGAGATGAAGTAAAGCAGTGGAGACACCATGGCTGTAGCATGAGATGGCTCCCTATCACATGGGCTTAATTAATGAAACGATCAATAACTGCTTTTTTGATAATGGTGGTAGTGCTTACTGAATGTAGAACTAACTGAATCTGCTGGCTAACCCTTCAGAAACTAGCTTAAGTCTCTGAATCAGAGAAACATTTCTATGGTTAAGGGTAAATTCTCATGCCTATTACTTGGTAAGTAAATATATTTTGAAAAATAGGATCGTAAACGTTGTTTTGAGAGAAAAAAATTCTATCAGATTTTATGATATTTAAAGGTAGTTTGTGCTATTAAGAAACTAGTTCTTGGCGGGTCGCGGTGGCTCACACCTGTTATCCCAACACTGTGGGAGGCTGAGGCAGGCAAATCACTTGAGGTCAGGAATTCGAGACCAGTCTGGCCAACATGGTGAAATCCCATCTCTACAAAAAATACAAAAATCATCAGGGCCTGGTGGCATATGCCTGTAATCCCAGCTACTTGGGAGGCTGAGCAGGAGAACTGCTTGAGCCCGGGAAGCAGAGGATGCAGTGAGCCGATACCATGCCACTACACTCTAGCCTGGGCAACAGAGCAAGACTCTGTGTTTAAAAAAAGAAAGAAAGAAAGAAACTCGTTCTCAGTGCTGCAATACTAAACAAACAGGAAAGTCAAATTTTTACTCAGAGTTAGTATTTCCTCAAAAAACAGATTACCGATAAATTGTTTCCTTAAAACATGCCTGTAATCTTCCCTAAATGAATCTAAGAGATAAATATGAGCTATAAATTACACAAAAATTTGGAGATTATTTTCAGGGAAGAAAAAATGATCAGGTAGTTATCCTTATTTTTAATTATGTTGATATTTGCAAATAAAATATTACATTACATTCTAGTATGCATTAATAGATGTAACTCCTAATTTTCTAAATATAGAATTAGTATATACTATAGTCATTATATACCATGAAAACTATACTACAGTTTTTTTGGAAAACTAAACTACTGAAAAATACCAGGTTCTCTTTTCTGTGTTTGGTTTCTAATATATCAAGACTTCACAAATATGTATAGTGCACTCAAGTAATGCAAACTAATTTTAATATTAGCACAAATCAAATATTTTAGAAGGCAAATTCGGTATAAAAATGTAATAATTTCCCCAAAAGCCCCCTACACAATTCTCTTGGAATTAAAACATACCACTAATCCCCTTTATTACTATAGGGAATGAAAATAGGGGGTACTACATGGAGAATATATTGCAGTAGAAACAATGCAGAGTTTCTGAGTCCTAATATTCTTCTTCCTGGCCCTAATGCTATGCTATTCTTATGCTCATTGATGATACTTAACCTGAATTTGAAACAAACATGTGGTTCACAGATACTATCATGCAAGGGACTTCACAAAAAAAAAAGGACTCTTCTTTTTCTTTTTTAATCTCTGTGGATTTTCCTATTTGTTTGTGTTTTTTTTTTTTTGAGATGGAGTTTTGCTCTTGTTGCCCAGGCTGGAGTGCGATGGCACCATCTCAGCTCATTGCAACTTCCGCCTCCTGGGTTCAAGCAATTCCCCTGCCTCGGCTTCCTGAGTAGCTGGGGTTACAGGCATGTGCCACCATCCAAGCCCAGCTAATTTTTTTGTATTTTCAGTAGAGACGGGGTTTCACCATTGTCACGCTGGTCTCGAACTTCGAGCCTCAGGTGATCCACCAGCCTCAGCCTCCCAAAGTGCTGGGATTACAGGTGTGAGCCACTGTGCCCTGCCCCATAGTATATATTTATTAAGTTAGTTTAGGGTAGTTTGCAACTACGTTTTAAAGAAGCAACAGTTCAACATTATACCTCTTGCTAAAATACTAATACAAAGTGAAATCTGGGTTTGTAGGAGTTTTTTAAAAAGATCCAAGCAATCCGTAACAAACTTATTTTGCATACCTTGTAGTATCAAGCACCTGAGCCACAAAGTAAGTGCTCCATATATACCTGCCAAACTGTATCTAGAAACGAAGACTCTTCCGGGCTCCGGATATAGCAGCCCAGACAAATAGCTAATGGGTAGCATCCTGTCAAAGGCACAGAACTCTCCCCCGAACATCCTTATGCTTTGCTCGATTTTAAACACGATATATTTATGTGTTTGATAGGCAATTATAACTCATGTAAGTATGTTATATAAGTGATTTTTATACTGTTATAATGAATATAATAATAATGGACATTTAAAAATGAATAGTTGGGAGACATATTCCTGTCATACATTATCAAGTCTGTTGGTATTCAAAGCAGAAACAATTCAGGAATTATATTATTAATGAACTACCTCAAGATTAAGGCCAAGGACTGAGCAAAGACTGTGCTCCCCGTACCTCCCAGGCATGACACACCACCAATCACCTAACTAGGGCCTAAAAAGGCCTAAAGTAACCATACACTCTGCTCTCCAAACAATATAGCTAAGAAAATATATGCCACTAGAGGGCAGTCAAGATCTAACTATACATTAAAATCTTAAGTTACAAGAAGCTATAAGGAAAAGCTAAAATTTTATACATATCTAGAATCTTTTAGGTCTAATGATAATACTTTTTAAAATTATTGGTATTAATCAGCCATCCTTTCAACCTTCTGGTATTATTTTGGATAAAACAATTCAAATCTTGATTAAACCTTGTAGTAAATAAGAATAAATTCCATTTTCAAATGCTTTAAAATATTATTGACAACAGTACTCCAAAGATACTACAACTCAAATACAGAGTTCATGTTTTATCTGGAATATGTAAGCATTCTCCTAAGAGAAAATAAATTATAATTCTGATTAATTACATAAGGCTTGATTCAATTTTATTAAACTTTTTATGCCCTTGACTTTTTTTTAAATGTCAGCAACAGCAGTATAGACTATTATAAATGAATGTTTTGAATCTCCTCTTAGTGATAATCAGACTGATTTTGCTTTATGCTATAAAATCTCTCAACATCTATCTTTTAATTTTTATTCCCACCATCCTTGTTCAAAAAAACAATTTTTCTAAAGCCTCCCAACTGGTCTACCTCCAAGCACTGCCCCCTCCAATCTGTCCCTTCCCACTGTTGCCGTAGTTATATTGCTATTGTAAACTGTGATCACACATCAAGCTCTTGCTTTAAAACTTCCTGGGGCTGGTACTCCTTATACAAATTTATCCACATTTCTTAGCTGAGTTTGCAAGATATTCCATATTTTGCCCTAATCTTTCTACCTTCATCTATGTCTGTTCTCTCTGCCCATCTGTACCCTATATTTTATCCTAAGTGGACCATCTACCCTTCCTCAACTCTTTCTACACTTAATCACATCAGATGTACTTTCTTTCTAGTAGCGATGGCCTTTCTGACACTAATCTCTACTTGTTGAAATTTTGATCCTTTCAACATCTAATTCTGAAGACATTTTCTCCCTTTACTGATTCCTGATCCTTTCAACATCTAACTCTGAAGATATTTCTCCCTTTACTGATTCCTCCCATTGGAAAATTAATCTTTCTTCTTATGTCTTTTCCATACAGATCACTTGCATCCCTACTATGAAGCATGCTGTTATATCCTGGCACATAGTAAACACTAAACATAATCTCAGCTTCTACTGTAGAATATGCCACTCTATTCTCATTGCTCACTGTTCACATAACTTCGGTAAAATCAAACCTTGTCAAACAACTGTCAGTGGCTCTATCTCTAAATTCTTAAAATACAGAGATTGTGTGATCACCATTTTTTCTCCCTGTTTTCTCATTTTCTTATACACTCACTCTTCAAACTCATTAGATTCCTTCATTCTTCCCTTCCCTATATAACTTTCCATACTTTCTTGCCCTTATTAGCTTTTCCCCTACTTGCTCTCTTAACCCCAATTACTGTCCAATTTCACTACCTTCACTCTCAACATCTATACCTGCTCTGCTGAGTTCGCCAGAAAACACATGCACCGAACAGATTGGCACCACTAACTCAGAGTCTCTAACCTCAACGGGACCATCAATGTTTCTCCACAATGTTTTTATCTGTTTGCAGTCTGCTCTCTGTTCCATCCCACAAAACAGCAATTTTTAATCTTTATTGCTGAGTGACATCAGTAGAAATGGTAGAGAAAGAATCTCCAAAAATCCTCTTCTCCACAGAATTAATGAGAACACTGGCAAAAAACTATGCAAATGAAATTTTTCATAGCTCTGGAAATTAACTAAAGGCTGGCAAAAGCCAGGGAGTGTTTATTTGATAAAAATGTCCAAATGTTGGTAAGAACAGCAAACTAGTGATGTTTTAATTTGCTCCTGCTGCATCACCCTCTCTCTAATTCCACAGCATATTGAAAACCAAAGGACCCTCAATCATAGTGAAAATCAGCCACCCATAAGCCCTTGTAGTGGGCAGAACAGAGCTGGAGTTCCTCCAAAGCCCAGTTCCCAGATAACTGTCATTATGTTCCCTTTTCTGGAAAATTCCATCGGTAAGACTTGTCTTTATTCCACTTGACTTAGAGCTTGCCCAGTGCAAATAGTTGTTTCTCCAAGGACATTTGTTGAAAATCATCTGAGGCAATTTGTTAGCCTTGCAGCTTTGTGAGGCAGCAATAACAGCTGAGGCAAACAGCAACTGACCAAAAAGTTTGAAAGGAAAAGCTGGGGAGTGAAATATCCATAGTGGGATGTGAGAAGCTCCAACATATTCCTGGGACTCTAGAAGGCCATGCTCATGCCCAGGGCTGTGCATGTATTCAGGAAAAACCTGAGAAAGCTTACACCTCTGAAAGACCTTGAGGCTCTGCACATGCAGTAAGAGAAGGCTAATGTGAAATTATAAATTGCCTGGTTGAGTGTTGAAGGCATGTGCCAATATGCTCACATTACATTGCCTCTCCTTTGGTAAAGACTGGGAGACTTATCAGTCCTAGGCATTTAAAGAAGTCTCTGTCCTACCATCAGCTGACCATGAAGCTAATGAAACTGAGACTTCAGTGGCCACACATGACAGGCAACACAGTCTCTACTAAACTAGTTTAGAAAAATTACCAAGAAAGCAAACAACAATGACAATAAGCACAACAACAAAATCTGAAATAGGGGCGAATACAGAGTTACCAAATTACATTACTTTAAATGTTCAATTTTTCACAAAAATTGTGAGACATGCAAAAAGACAAGACAGTATGTCCCATACATAAAGGGGTAAAAAGCAGTCAATAGAAATTATTCCTCAGGAGGCCGAGATGTTGGGCTTATTAGACAAAGACTTTAAGTTAGGTATTTTAAATCTGTTCAAAGAACTAAATAAAACCATGTGTAATGAACTAAATAAAAGTATGAGGCTGGGCACAGCGTCTCATGCCTGTAATCCTAGCACTTTGGGAGGCCGAGGCAGGTGGATCACCTGAGGTCAGGAGTTCGAGACCAGCCTGATCAACACAGTGAAACCCCATATCTACTAAAAATACAAAATTAGCCAGGCATGGTGGTGGTCCAACTCTGTTCTGCCCACTCCAGCGGCTTGTGGGTGGCTGATTTTCACTATGATTGAGGGGCCGTTGGTTTTCAATATGCCATAGAATTAGAGAGAGGGTGATGGGGCAGGAGCAAGTTAAAACATCACTAGTTGCTGTTCTTAGCAACATTTGGACATTTTAATCAAATAAACACTCCCTGGATTTTGGCCAGCCTTTAGTTAATTTCCAGAACTATGAAAAATTTGATTTGCATAATTTTTTGCCAGTATTCTTATTATCCCAGCTACTTGGGAGGCTGAGGCAGGACAGTCACTTGAACCTGGGAGGTGAAGGTTGCAGTGAGCCGAGATCACGCCATTGCACTCCAGCCTGGGCAACAAGAGCAAAACTCCATCTCAAAAAAAAAAAAAAGTACAAAAATGATGCTTCACCAAATAGTGAATATCAATAAAGAGGTAAATTATAAAAAAGAATAAAAATTTCTGGAGTTGATAAGCACAGTACCTGAAATTAAACATACATCAGAGGGCTCAACAACAGATTTGCACTGACAAGAATCAATGAACTTGAAGATAAGTCCGTTAGTCAAGTATGAAAAACTGAAGAAGAAATGAAGAAAGACAAGCAGAGCTTCAGAGGCCTGGGGGATACACTCAACCATACCAACATACACATAATGGAAATCACAGACTGTAAGGAGAGACAGAAAAGAGAAGAAAGAATGAATAAATAATGGCCAGAAGCTTCCCAAATTTGATGAAAAACATTCATTTACACATCTAAGAAGTACAGTAAACTTTGGGGATAAACTCAAAGAAATTAAAACTAGACACATCATAATCAAACTGTTCAAATCCAAAAACAGAGAGAGAATCCTGAAAACAGCAAGAGAGAAGCAACTCATCACATACAAGGGACCCTCCAAAAGATTAATGTCAATGCCTTATCAGAAAACATAAAGGCCAGAAGGCAGCGGGATGATATATCTGAGTACTAAAAGAAAAAATAATTGTCAGCTGAGAATTCTATACCCAACACATCTTTACTGCTCTCTTCAAGGCTTCTAATCCAGTCCAGCCTGCCCTAACTTCTACTCCTTAGGAAAATAAACTCATTTTCTATTTCAACCTGAAGACAATAATTATACAGTAGACTGCCCTCAGCTTCCTCCTGATTTTCCCTGTACACAGGTTTTTGCAGCGTCTTCAATCTTTACTTCTTTCCTACTAACCTTAGGGGAATAAGTGTTGTTGTTCCTTTTACAGGAGGCCAATCCCTTTACCCATGCTCTGAATTTCATTCCCTTCAACCTTCTCAGAGACCACAGCTCATCAAGCTCCTCTTACTGTACTTTCAACCTCTCTCTCTCCCTTAGTGTAAAAATGTCCACATTTCTTTCATTTAAAAAATTAAATTTTTAACCCTCTGTTTCTCTCTAGCAATAGTCTCACGTTTGTACTTATATATGTAATTGAATCCTGGTATATGTGTTGAGTTGTCTCACATGCACCTCAAACTGAAGATGTTTACAATAAAACTCAGAATCTTCCCACTACCCCATGTCCATCTGCTCCAATTCCTGTGTTCCCAACCAGTGTGTATGTACTTGACATCTATCAATCCAGAAACTATCTCAGATGCCTCCTTTGTCCTTCTGCTGATTCTACTTCTAAATGCCAAATAATTTTTTCTGTTCACAGTATTGCCAAAGACAAGGTCTCCAACACTCCTCATCTATACTTCTTTTTTGTCACCAAACTGCTGTCCTCATCTCCAGTTTTGTTTACATTCAGCCTTTTTCCTAAAGAGCCACTAGAATCATTCTTTAATTTAAAAAAAAAAAAAAACTGTTTCAACTCCTGCCTCCTCTATTTGATCTACTGCCACTTTTCAAACTCCACTCTACATCTGGTCGTACAAAGCTCTCTGAAATTCCCATTTGCAATCCTCCTTGTGTCTCTAAGCCTTTACATATACTATTCTCTCTGCCTGAAATGCATGAACCCGATTGACTTAGCTGTACCTACTTTGGTGGTTTTAAAATATGTCCACAAATACTTGAGTACACCTCCATTCAAAAAGTGTGGGCTTCATTTAGTGGTTCACTTCTAACAAACAGAATATAATAGAAGTAATTGTAACAAGCATTACAGCATCCTTGTACTCACTCTTCGATTTTTCATTCTGGGGGAAGTCAGCTTCCATGTGAAGGCACTCGAGCATCTCTATGAAGAGCTCTGTGTGGCAAGGCTGTACCCATCTGGCTGTGTCTTCTGCCAACAGCCAGAGAGGAAGCGAGTTCTTTAGCCAACAGTTATGCAAGTGAGCTGTCTTAGTATCCAGTGCTCCAGCTCCAGTGAAGTCTTCAGATGACTTAAGCCCTGGCCAACTTAATAGCAATCTCAGAGAGACTATGATCCAGAACCACCTATCACTCACATTCATAACCCACAGAAACTTTGAGATAACAAATTTTGTTATTTTTAGCCACTGAGAGGGTTTTTTTTTTTTTTTTTTTTTTTTTTTTTGGTGGGAGGGAAAGGGGTAGTTTGCTGTACAGGAATAGATAACTAATATACCTCCTCTTTAAAGATTTCCCTCATATCACCAAGCTGATTTAAACCCCCTGTGTTATGACTCTTCAGCTTAACACTTTCATTGTATGGTAGTGGTAGCAATTTAGTCTATTTTCCCTGTCTACACTGAGAGCTACATAAGACAAAAACTCTTATTCATCTTTGAATTCCCAGAACTAGGCACAGTAGGTGTTCCATATCTATGTGTTAAAATAAAATAGAGTGGCCAGGTGCAGTGGCTCATGCCTGTAATCCCAGCACTTTGGGAGGCCAAGGTGGGTGGATCACAACATCAGGAGTTCAAGACCAGCCTGGCCAATATGGTGAAACCCCGCCTCTACTAAAAATACAAAAAAAAAAAAAAATTAGCCGGGCCTCGTGGCAGGCGCATGTAGTCCCAGCTACTCGGGAGGCTGAGGCAGGGAAAATCACCTGAACCAGGGAGGCAGAGGTTGCAGTGAACTGAGATTGCACCACTGCACTCCAGCCTGGGGGACAGAGCGAGATTCTATCTCAACTAATAATAATAATAATAATAATAATAATAATAATATTTTAAAAAATGGAAATGAGAATTGCAAATATGGAAGTAAAATGAAGTGGAGCATATGTTTTATAAATATAAGCTCCTTTTCTTTCTTCTTAAAATTCACATAATTCAGAAGAAAGTAGGTACCCATAAGGTAGCAATATGTTGTCCACAACGGTGTTACGAAGATGAAATTATTAATACGTATTAGCTACAAATAGTATAAAACACTGTATGTCATCAGAATAACTTCTTAACATTTTACTTATCTGGCACCATTCTGGAGTAAAGTTATCTCTAAAAGCAAATGTATCATGTGTCACTGAATATAGTTTATGCCCTTAAGTGACAATATCTTTAAAATATAACCATCATTGATTTTTTTCTGTCTGGCATTGCAATGCATATTTCTATGTGCAGGGGAAACTGTACTCCTTTTCCTGGATACTGACCATAATTAACTCTTTCCTTGAAGACTCAAGGTTATAAATTCTCTGAGCTGTAGTGTTTTCCCTTATTTTTAGTTATTATCTATAACTTTAGACATTTATTATTAAGTTATTATCTATAAGTTTAAAATTGAGTCAACCAGACTTAGGCATTCTCTCTTTGCAATTTTCAGTGAGTATCAGGAAAGCAATGTTGTCAGAGTTCCTTCTAAATGTAGAGTAAGTAACTTTCAAAATGTTTGATATTAAGCAGAGTGGGGGAGCGGAAGGAAAACAGGTAATTATATCTCTATTAAGACTATAGATACCAAAATATAAATATTCATGTGTAAAGTAATGAAAACCTGGGGAAATCAAATGGTTGATGTGTCAGACTATAAAACCAGGTGTGAGTTTTTTCCCCAAAATTTTATCTTTATCATTATATAAGTATCTTTCCAACCTAAAAATATATTGACTGTCATCACTGCTACCTACATCCTCTAGGGATGCACAAATGTTAAAGAATTATAAAGTTAGAGGGAAGCTCAAGAACTCTTTGATTATTACACCCTTCTTTTGCCTAAAGAGAGTAGTTGAATCAAATATTTGAAAATATGCAAAAACACTATTGGAAATACTATATTATCATAAGGCAATGTTAGTGAATATTTGTATGCCTGATATATACATTTGTTGATTAGAAAGTACATTTAATAGGTCATTTCAAAGCTGTGAAACCAGGATCTCTTGATACTGTGATTGAACATTAACGTTCTCCATAGGATGCCATAGTCCTACTCAATAATGCCATGCTTTCCTAAGGTAATGTAAGACATAGTCACACATAACCACAGCAGATCACTCATAATAATCCACGATTGGTGATATGGAGAAATAAATAAATGTCTGAAAGTTTAACCAAAACAAAAGTACATTTAAGTTCAATTAACCTTTGAAAAGATTTATAAAATCAATTAATCCCTTAGAGAAGTGATCAAGATAAAAAGAGAGAAAACATCAACTATCATTACCAGGAATGAAAAGAGAGATATCATTAAAGATCCTACAGACATTAAAAGAATAATAAGAGCACATTAGTGCAATTTTATGCCTATATATGGCAACCTAAATTAAATGAACTAATTTACAGAAAAACATAATTTATCAAAGTTGACACACAAATAAATAGAAAATCTAAATAGCTCTCAAGCTATCAAATACATTGAATTCATAACAAAATACCTTTCCTATAGTATAAAACTCTAGGCTCGTGGTTTCAATGATAAATTCTATCAAATATTTGAAAAAGAAACAATGTAGAATTAACACAAATTCTTTCAGAAAACAGAAGAGAAAATTTCCTACTTAGGAAGCTAGATTTACATTGATATCAAAATCTAACAAAGACATTATAAGAAAAAAATATATACCAGTGTATTGCCCATAAACTTAGCTACAAAAGTCCTAAGCAAAATATTAACAAATAGAATACAGCTCTGTGTAAAAAAGGACAATGCATCATGACTGAAGAGAGTTATCCTAGAACTAGAAAGTTGGTTTAACATTTGAAAATCACTTGATAGTCATGATATCCACAGAATACAGGAGAAAAATACATAATCTGTTCAATAAATGGGGAAAAAAGCACTGGACAAAATTCATGACCCTATTTATGATAAAATCACCCACAAACTAAGAACAGAAGGGAATCTCTTCAATGTGATAAAGGACAGCTATAAAAAGCTATACTTAACATCATACTTAATGGTGAAACATCACAACTTTCCCCCTATAAGGCAGAATAAACTCTCTTACCATTTCTATTCAATAGTGTTCTGAATTCTTTACCAGTTCAATAAATCAAGAAGCAAAAAAGCTATACCAATTGTAAAAGAAAAAGTGAGGTTTAGTTTTTGCAGACCTCATGATTATGTATATAGACAATCCCACTGAATTTACAAAAAAATAGAACTGACATATAAATTTAGCCAAATCACAGGATATAAGATCAATATGTAAATATCAATTATATATCTCATATTCGTGTACAGTTGGAAAATGAAATGAACTTTAAACTAATTTCATTTAATAGTATCAAAAATATAGATAAATCAAATAATGTATAAGACCTCTAGTCTGAAAACTGCAAAGCAATGCTAAGAGAAACTAAAGAGGATGAAAATAAATGGACAAATGTACCATGTTCATGAATTGGTCGACTAAATATGGCTAAAATATCAATTCTTCCCAAACTGACCTATGAATTCAACTGTAATCCCATCCAAATCAAATTAACAAGTTGAATCTAAATGTATATGGAAATGCAAAAGAAGAACAAAAAACCTTTATAAAATATGAAAGAAGTTGGAAGACTTGCCCTACCTGATTTTAAATTTACTATGTGATAAAAATGAAGACAATGGAATATTAACTTAAGGACAGACATAAAGATCAATGGAACAGAATATACAGTCCAGAAATAGACTGACTTATGTGTTCAATAGGTTTTGACTAAGACGCCAAGGTAATTTAATTTGGTAAGGATAATTGTTCCAACAAATGGTGCTGGGACAGTTGGATATTCATCTGTGCAACAAATGAACCTTGATCTTAAGCTTACATCATACACAAAAGCTAACTCACTTTAGATCACACACCTACAAGTAAAAGCTAGAATAATAAAACTCTGGAAGGAAACATAAGAGACAATATTTTTGTTTTTGCATAGGCAAAGATGTCCTAGGAACCCACAACTATAAAGGAAAAAAATCATAAATGGACTTCAAATTAAGAATGTCTGCTCTTTGAAAGACCTCATTAAGAAAGTGAAAAAGCAACTTACAAACGGAAGAAAATCCTTCCATACCTGACATGGTTCTTCTATCCAAAATATACTTTTAGAAACACAATTCAGTAAAAAGGCCAACAAAAATTAGAAAATATGCCTCGGTAATTATACTCCTAAATATTTAGTCTAAGAGAAATGAAAGATTAATTATATTAATTATATACCAAGATTTGTATATGAATATTCATAGCAGCCTTATTCATAATCACCTAAAATTGGAAACAACCCACATCATCCATCTATAGGAGAATGGATAAACAAACAGTAAATTATTACTATTATTATTTAAGGAATGCCACTGAGCAATAGATTTTGTGATATACATAAAACATGCAAGATCATAAAAGCATCATGATGAACAAAAGAAACTACATATAAAAAATACACGTGATAATGATTATAAAATCTACATTTATAGGTTACATTTATATGTCTATTTGCTATAAATTAATCTGTAATGATAGAACTTACAAAGTGGTTACTTTGTTGGGAACACAAACTTTCTGGAATGAAGAAAATATTGGAGGTGTTTTCGGTAGTGGTTCCTTTTGTTTCTACAACTGTCAAAATTTACCAGACTGAACACTTCAGATGTGTACATTTTATTGTATACAAATTTCTATTCAATTTAAAAACTATTTTTTAAATTGTTTTTAAAACAATTTCTATTTCAATTTAAAAACATAATTATATAGAACTAATTAGCTTTGAGGGTTTATTCTATATCAGAGAATTACAGAAGTCTCTTTGATTGCCATTTTTTGGCTTACAAGCCTTTTATTGTTTACTTTCTTCCCAGTGGTTACAGGGACTGTACACTCTTTGAGACAGGAATCTTCTTGGTATCTGCACACCTAACAGCAACTGATTCATAATGCGTGTACCACATCTCTGTTGTTAGAAAGCTAACCTCAAGATAGATATTATGTTAGCATTATGGATATTACTGTTAACAAGTAGATACGTCATTTAATTTGCAGCAAATATAAGAATCCAGTAACTGATAAGATCTGTCAAGATGCCAAGTATGTCTTTACTCAATTCAAAGGACTAAAATATGTCAGGATGCCTATGATTAGGATCCTACACCTGCCACTTTAAATGGGAAGACACAGAAGTCCCTGAATCTCAGTTTCCTTATCTGTAAAATGAGCGTAATACAAGCATCATCCTCATAAGAGTTACTGTGAGGATTAAATAATAATTGTAAAAGTCTTAGAAACACTTACACAGTGAATATATAAACTATCATTATTATTTAAGATCCACTTTTATGTACAGGTAATGCACTGAAAATATGAGCCACTAGAATACATTTGGAATACATTTTTAAAACTTTCCATCAAAAATTATAGGCCCTGTGACGAAGCACACAACCGTAATTTGTTTTTTGCCAATTTTTTGAAAATGGGTATTAAACTAACTCAGACTGCAGGAGCAACGGATTAAAGAGTGGATCATTCTAAACTACATTCTTTTTTTTTTTTTTTTTTTGAGACGGAGTCTTGCTCTGTCACCCAGGCTGGAGTGCAGTGGCGCCATCTCGGCTCACTGCAAGCTCTGCCTCCCGGGTTCACACCATTCTCCTGCCTCAGCCTCCCGAGTAGCTGGGACTACAGGTGTCCGCCACCATGCCCAGCTAATTTTTTTGTATTTTTTAGTAGAAATGGGGTTTCACTGTGTTAGCCAGGATGGTCTCAATCTCCTGACCTTGTGATCCGCCTGCCTCAGCCTCCCAAACTGCTGGGATTACAGGCGTGAGCCACCATGCCCGGCCTAAACTACATTCTTCAAAGGTATTATTTAAGGAAAATGTATTCTTTGCAGAACCTTTAAAAATCCATTGTGTTCAACACATAGTTAGTTATTGAGTATCTATTGTAATGTGTTTCCCTTAAAGCAGAATATCACATTAATTAATTCAATGTTGCCTGTACGTGTGTGTAAATGATGAAGGTGGGATTTTGTAAAACACTAGCCTCCACTACAAGCTTATTCCCCAAATCAGCAAAAATCAGCTGTTCTGGAGGAGGGCTGGTGGGCTAGGGGAGGAGCCCAATATCATAATCAGGGAGGTACCTACTGATCTCAGAGGCTTGAGGAAGACAGGCCCATTTTCTCCGCCCAAAGAATCATCAGCATCCTGAGCCATCCCACTGAGAGATGGGTCTAATCCCTCAGGTGTTTTTCAGGGAAGAAAATCCACTTGGCTGAAATTCCACACCTAGACTAGAGGACTCTATCCAGTACTCCCCCTTTTATTCATTTATTTGGCTTTAAAGAACTACTACATCATCTTGCAACCGAAGAAGAGGAAAGTAAAACCAAAATACCATGATCTTGATCTGGTGCTTCCAAGTTGTAGCCGTACCCCAGCAGCGTGCGCACAGCCTCGCGGAGGCTGTCCTTGTTGGATTTCTTGGTTCGGTCATCCAGAAGAGTGTAGGGAACAAGGCGAGGATTTCTTCTGTTCTTTACGTCCTGCAGGAAAACACAGGGTGCAGCCGTCAAAGCAATACCAAGGGCTTTTAGAAATAAGTAGCTACCAAATACATCAAACTTTAAATTCCATGAGAAAAACGTGACCCTTCCACAATCCATGCGTCTTCCCAGGCTGCAAAGTTACCAAAACACTATCAATATACAGGATTCAATCAAATGAATAAGCGCATCTATGGAAAGCAGACCCTCTCCATGAGAAGGAAAAACAACAATAACAAAAAACAACTTCAGTGATCTCTAACCACTTCCATCTGCCACGTTCACATGGCAAAGGACAAACTTAGAGAACATATAACTTCTGAGTACAGTTCATGGACAGGGTTTTATTCCAAGAACAGCCAAATTAGTGCTGGTTCTCCCTCAGTGGTTTTCAGGCAATGAAGAACTTAAGGCTGCTTTCCCTTCTTCAAAAAATTCCAGCGTGTTATGGACCACCCTTCTATGTCCCTAACTGAAAAATATGCATTGGGTTGAATCCACCAACCAGTGAAACCCGGCAATGCCAGGGGCACTAAAATGACTATGAAACCCATAACTTGTCTATTGTACGAGAGGCTCCAATGTTAAACTGTGGTTAAAATGTGTTGACACAGAGAGAGTGAACAGGCTATCTTACTATCTTGGCAAAAGGATGCTTAATATTAGAGTACAGAACTGAATTCCATGGGATCGGGGAGATGCATCTACTCCTACAAGTGTGTAGGGCAATGCCACTTTGGAAATTACTTCTTTCCATTCACTTCCTGAGACCTGCTGCAGTATTTGCTCAAGTCTCCACATTTCAAGAAGCATAATCAATTCTCAATACTTTAAGATAAGCAGGAATTGGGAGGCTGTGGATGTTCCCACCACATCTCCCAAGAGTTAAAAAAAAAAAAAAAAAAAAAAAAAAAAGAAAGCTATGGAATCACACAGGGGTTGTTCTGGTAAACCAGAGAATAAATACTGTAAATACTGTGTTGTTGTTGTTTTGTTGTTTTTGTTGTTGTTTTGAAACAGAGTCTCACTGCAGCCTCAACCTCCTGGGCTCAAGTGATCCTCCCACCTCAGCCCCCTGAGTAGCTGGGACTACAGGCATGTGCCCCATGCCCAGCTAATTTTTTAATTTTTTGTAGAGACGGTCTCTCACTATGTTGCCCAGGCTGGTCTCAAACTCCCAGGCTCAAGCAGTCCTCCCACCTTAGCCTCCCAAAGTGCTGGGATTACAAGTGTGAGCCACCCCGCCCAGCCAGAAATACTGTTTTGTCTTGTCTTTTCTTCCTTCCCTCTTTCAGGCAAATTTGTACTGAATACCTAATCCTGAATACCTTAATACCCAAATACCTGAATATCTACTGATGCCTAGAGCAAAATGATCTGCAACAGTAACTCAGTGGTGAAACCTGAACTGATGCGAGGCTGTTTATGGCCTTTACCCCTCTTTGGTATGACCATGCCTCCCTTGTGCGGAATGAATTGCAATTTGAAGTCACTTGCCCTACCAAGGTTGTTATGTATATACATGTAATATATCCTCAAATCACCATTCTGAAAACCAAATAAAAAGACTGAATTCTGAAATTTATGTGGCCCCAGGGGTTGTGAATAAGGGATGGTGAACCCATTTTATTATCACTTTATCCCAGTCTTCTTACATTTCAAAAGTTTCTCCTAAAATACAGTCTCAGAGAGAGAAATACCACAAAACCATATTATAAGTCACCAGTGTAGTATTATTCATTGTGTGCCTCACATGTGTTCACGATCACAGCCAGAACTAAGGTCATGTAAATTCTTGAGTCTAGCATTAAACAGCTGTTTTAGTCCAAATGTGCACTATATGTGATCTATATGATACAAGTTTTAAAATAGTCATTATGTAATCCTTCCTGTTACAAATTATGCTAATTCCCACTTAAGTAAGTCTCAGACCAAATGCTAATTCCCATGTACCTGTTGGATGCCATAAGTCCAGCCCTGCCGGATTCGATCCCGCGCCCACACATTATGTGCATTTTCTGCCAACTTGTCCACCATTGCTTCTTGTGATGGGGTGAGTTTGATAAAGCTCAGGTCCATAGGGGCAGGCTTGTATCCACTTGTCAGCTGGTAACTACAAATCAGAGACAAAGAAATTTGTGTATAATTGGCCTTTTCATAAAAATCTCTGTAAATATCATTTTCTGGCCCTACCTCATTACTGTTCTTCCATAAACCACAGTGGTAACCAGTGGTGAAGTACCAGACAGCAAGCCTAGGTTCCTTTCACTTTAGCTAATAACTGATCAGAATGAAAAGCCACATAATCTTTGTGTTTTTGTTTTTACACCAATAAGACAGAAATGAGACAACTTACCTGTCTCTCAGAGATGAAAAGGACCTGTCATTGTTTGTGTTCCTAATAGCTGAGGCTTTTGTATAGTCTAAATCAAAATATTGGTTATTTATTGAAATATTTTAGAGATTTCTCTTCCTGTGAAGTCATTTTTCTTCAATTGTTAAATGTTAGATTAATGTAATATTTATTTCATAAATCAGTGTATCCTTCAGATACTACCTATTTCTTATTCCACAGGGAAATTTAAATGCATTTGTAACTTATTTCCTTACTGTCATTCCTAGTTACGTTATTTAGGAAGACTAAATAAGATAGAGACTAGAAAGTAAAGAAAATCACAGCTATATAACCATCTAAAATCTGATTGCATTTTATTTCCCTAGAGTTCAAGGATCTCTTAGCAGAGACTGCTTCTACATTCTAGGCTGGAGAGAGAAGGTATTATCGT